>NC_000020.11:520880-672395 GCF_000001405.40 Homo sapiens
AATGAATCACAGATATCAATGTAAAACTTGGGTCAGATGCGGTGGCTCATGACTGTATAATCCCAGGCTGGGTGACAAGGCAAGACTCTACCTCTGGGGGGGAAAAAAAAAGATATAAATGTAAAATTATCAAACCTTCTTGCAACCAGGGGTTAGGCAGAGTTTGAAGACATGACACTAAAAGCATGGGCTGTAAAACTGATAAACTGAACTTCATCAACGTTAAAATATTTCTGCTCTGTGAAAGACACTATTAAGAAAATAAGCCAGACACAAGAAGAATGTATTTGCAAATCACAAATCGAATAAAGAACTTGTATCTGTAACATTAAAAAACTCAATAAGAAAACAGCTCAATTTAAAAATGGGCAAAAGACGTGAACATACACACCACAAAAGAAGATATACACATAAGTATATGAAAAGATACACAACACTGCCAGACAGCAGGGAAAATGAAATTAAATCATACAACTACCACTACAGATTTATTAAAATGGCTAAAATTTAAAAAAACAGAAAACAAAACTATACCAAAAGCTGGTGTGGATGCAGAGTAACAGTAACTAATACATTCCTGGTAGGAATGCAAAATGGTTTTGGAAAACAGTTTGGCAGTTTCTTATAGAGTTAAACATGTACTTAAGCATACAACCAGCATTCCCACTCCTAGGTATTTACTCAAGAGAAACGGAAACCCGTATCTACACAAAAACTTATACACAAACATTTAAGGCAGCTTTATTCATAATTGTGAAAAAACAGAAACAACCAAGGTGTCCAACAGTTACATGAACAAACAAATGGTTTGCCATGTGATGCTTAGCAATAAAAAGGAACAAATTACTGATTTGTGCAACAAAATGGATGAATCGTTTTTCTTTTTTTGGTAGAGACAGGGTCTCGCTTTGTTGCCCAGGCTGGTCTCAAACGTCTAGCCTCAAGTAATCCTTTGGCTTCAGTCTCCCAAAGTGCTAGGATTACAGGTGTGAGCTGCTACACCTGACCAACATGGTGAATCTTAAAAGTGAAGAAGCCAGAAACAAAAGCCTACATATTGTATACTTCCATTTATATCAGGGGTCCCCAATCCCCGGGCCATGGGCCTGTACCAGTTCATGGCCTGTTAGGAACCAGGCTACACAGCAGGAGGTGAGCAGCGGGAGTCACTCGCATTACTGCCCGAGCTCTGCCTCCTGTCCCATCAGCAACAGCATTAGATTCTCATAGGAGAACCCTATTGTGAACTGCACATGTGAGGAATCTAGGAGGTGGAGCTCAATTTTTCTCCTTTAAGGAAAGGAAATAAGTAAGCATGGAAAGAGAGCCTAAATTTCTCCCTTTCCATGCTTATTCATTACAAGGGTATTCCTAAGTCCAATGGGCTTGGAAAGGGAGAAATAGCAACTCTACAGTAGAAAAACCTGGCAGACTTTACTGAAATATCACTAGTGTTAAGTCACTTTGACATCATATGCCCCTGATATAATGTGATGAGAAGGGCACTTCACCTCTGTGGTAGTCTTCTCAAAAATCCATAACCACAATTTAATCTTGAGAAAACATCAAACCTGTATTGAAGGACATTCTATAACATACATCACCAGTCTTCTTCAAAAGTTTCCAAGTAATGAAAATTAAAGACAGACTAAGAAGCTTCACAGACTGGAGGATACTAAGGAGACATGATGACTAAATTAATGTGGTATCCTGGACTGGCTCCTTGAACAGAAAAAGGATACAACTGGTAAAATCCAAACAAAGCCTGTAGTTTAGTTAATAGTATTATACCGATGTTAATTTCTTAATTATTTTATTTATTTATTTATTTTTAGAGATGGGGTCTCACTTTGTCACCCAGGCTGGAGTGCAATGGTGTGATCCTAGCTCTCCCAGTTCACAGCAGCCTCAAACTCCTGGGCTCAAGCGATCCTCCTGCCCCAGCCTCCTAAGTAGCTAGGACTACAGGCACATGCCACCATGCCCACCTAACTTCTGAGAACCAGGTTGGTCTCAAACGCCTGGCCTCAAGCAATCCTCCCCACCACGGCCTCCAGAGTTACTGGGATAACAGGTGTGAGCCACCATGACTGGCCCAGTTTCTTAGTGTTGATGACATATCACGGTTATGGCAAGATGTGAACATTAGGATATACTGAGGGAAGCATATATGGAGATTCTATCTGTAACTTCTGTAAACCTAAAATTTTCAACATTACAAGTTAAATACTGCCAATATTTAACTTGAAATGCTAAAGAGGATGAGATGCTAGAGAAGATGAGGAAAAACTGAAACTCATACATTGCTAGTGTGAACGCAAAATAGTACTGTATAGCCATTCTAGAAAACAGTTTGGCAACTTCTTTATAAATAAGTTAAATGTACATTTTTCATATGACCCAGCAATCCAACTCACAGTTATTTACCCTAGAAAAATGAAAACTTAGGTCCACAAAAGCCTATAATGTTATGTTCACAGCAACTGTATTCATAATCACCAAAGAATGAAAACCAAAATGTCCTTCAAGGAGTGAATGGATAAAAATAACTATAGTCTATCCATAAATGGAATACTACTCAGTAATAAAAAGGAACTAACCATTTACACACACAATAACTTTGATGAATCTCAGAGGCAGTATGCTGAATGAAATAAGCCAGTCTCAAAATATTACATAATGTTTGATTTCATTTATATGACATTCACGAAAAGATAAAACTGTAGTGAGGTTGGGCACGGTGGCTCACGCCTGTAATCCCAGCACTTTGGGAGGCCGAAGCGGATGGATCACAAGGTCAGGAGATCGAGACCATCCTGGCTAACACGGTGAAACCCCGTCTCTACTAAAAATATAAAAAATTAGCCGGGAGCGGTGGTGGGCGCCTGTAGTCCCAACTACTCGGGAGGCTGAGCTTGCAGTGAGCTGAGATCACGCCAATGCACTCCAGCCTGGGCGACAGAGCAAGACTCCATCTCAAAAAAAAAAAAAAAAAAAAAAACTGTAGTAACTCAGAACAGAACAGTGGTTGCTAGAGATTAGGGGTGGGAGGCTAGGTATGTTACCAAGGGTAACATGCAGAAGGTGATATAACTATTCTATGTCCCAGTTGTGATGGTAGTTACTTGAATCTATGTATGTATTAAAATTCATAGAACAGTATACACAAAAAGGAGTCAATTTTACTGTGTATTAATTTAAAAAAAAATTTAAAAAAAGGAAAAAAATTCTATCACATGCTGTCTAAAAGAGATACATCTAGGCCGGGTGCAGCTGCTCACGCCTGTAATCCCAGCACTTTGGGAGGCTGAGGTGGGCAGATCACCTGAGGTCAGGAGCTCAAAACCACCCTGGCCAGTACAGTGAAACCCATCTCTACTAAAAATACAAAAATGAGCTGGGTGTGGTGGTGCGTGCCTGTAGTCCCAGCTGCTCTTAGAGGCTGAGGCAGGGGAATCGCTTGAAACTCTCGAGAGGCGAAGGTTGTAGCAAGATAACGCCATTGCATTCCAGCCTGGGAGACAGAGGGAGGCTCCTTCTCAAAAAAAAAAAAAAAAAAATTAATAAACAAATAAATAAAAGAGATACATCTAGGCCAGGTGTGGTGGCTCACTTGAGGTCAGGAGTTTGAGACCAGCCTGGCCAACACAGCGAAACCTCATCTCTACTTAAAAACAACAACAACAACAAAACACAAAAATTAGCTGGGTGTGGTGGCGGGTGCCTATAATCCCAGCTACTCAGGAGGCTGAGGCTGGAGAATCGCTTGAACCTAGGAGGTGGAGGTTGCAGTGGGCACTCCAGCATGGGTGACGGAGACTCCATCTCAAAAAAAAAAAAAAAAAAAAAAGAGATACATCTAAAACATGGGGTATATATTATATACACGATGTATACATGCACTGAAACATCACAATATATCCCATAAATATGTACAATTATGTATCAATTAGAAATTAAGAGCTGGGCACAGCTCAGGGGTCCCTGCACTTTGGGAGACTGAAGAGGAAAGATGGCTTGAGGCTGAGTTCGTGACCAGCCTGGGCAACACAGCAAGACTACCATCTCTACAGAAAAATTTAAAAGTTAGCTAAGTATGGTGCATGCACCTGTGTCCTAGCTACTCAGAAGGCTGAAGTGATCATGTGAACCTAGGAGTTTGAGGCTTCAGTGAGCTATGATCACAGTGTTGCACTCCAACCTGGCTGACAGACACTCTGCCTCAAAATCAATCAATCAATAAATTTTAAATAAAAAAAAACATAGGCTATAGAGAGTTTGTTCATAAAAATACGATATTTCAAAACGTGGGATACAATTAAAGCAGGACTTAGAAATTTATAAACTTAGGCCAGGTGTGGTTGCTCATGCCTGTAATCCCAGCACTTTGGGAGGCTGAGGTGAGTGGATTACTTGAATCTAGGAGTTCGAGACCAGCCTGGGCAACATGGCGAGACCTCGCCTCTATAAAAATAAAAATTTTAAAAATCGGCTGGGCGCAGTGGCTCACGCCTGTAATCCCAGCACTGTGGGAGGCTGAGGCGGGCGGATCACGAGGTCAGAAGATCGAGACCACCCTGGCTAACATGGTGAAACCCCGTCTCTACTAAAAATACAAAAATTAGCTGGGCATGGTGGCGGGCGCCTGTAATCCCAGCTACTCAGGAGGCTGAGGCAAGAGAATGGCGTGAACCCGGGAGGCAGAGCTTGCAGTGAGCCGAGATCGTGCCACTGCACTCCAGCCTGGGCGACAGAGCGAGACTCCATCTCAAAAAAAAAAAAAAAAAGAAAAAAAAAATAATAATAATTAGGCTGTGCACAGTGGCTAATGCCTGTAATCCCAACACTTTGGGAGGCTGAGGCCAAGGTGTGAGGATTGCTTGAGCTCAGGAGTTTGGAGACCAGCCTAGGCAACATAGTGAGACCCTGTCTCTATTTTTTTAACTTAAAACTATTAAAAAAAAAAAAAAAAAAAAAAAGCCAGGTGTGGTGGCATGCACCTGTGGTCCAACTATTCAGGAGTCTGAGATGGGAGGAACACTTGAGCCTAGGAGGTGGAGGCTGCAGTGAGCTGTGATTATGCCACTGCACTCTAGCCTGGGCGACATAGCAAGGCCCTGATTCGAAAATAAAAATTCATAAACTTGAACTTAGAAAAGCAAACTAAAAATTAAGAACTTACACATATCTCAATAAATTTGAAAACAGAAGCCCAGAGAAACTAGAAGGAAAAAAACGGGAAAAGCAGCAATCAAAGAAATATGAAACAAAGAGGATCCACAATACCAATTGAGTCTTTAAAAATGCTCGTGCTGAGCCCGTGGCTCATGCCTGTAATCCCAACACTTTGAAAGGCCAAGGCAAAGGATTGTCTGAGTCCAGGAGTTTGAGATCAGCCTGGGCAACAGAGTGCAACCCCCAATCTCTACAAAAATAATTTAAAAATTAGGCCAGGCATGGTGGCTCATGACTGTAATCCCAATACTTAGGAAGGCTGAAGCGGGAAGACTGCTTGAGCCCAGGAGTTTGAGACCAGCCTGGGCAATACAGTGAGACTCCATCTCAAAAAAATTGTTTTTAATAATAAAAACAATGGAAAAAATTAGCTGAGTCCCAGCTACTCAGGAGGCTAAGGCAGGAAGATCACTTGAGCCCAGGAGTTTGAGGCTGCAGTGAGCTATGATCATGTCACTGCACTCTAGCCAGGGCGACAGAGAAAGACCCTGCCTCTGCAGGTGGGGGGGAAGAAATTAAAAATGTAAGTGTGCTTGATTTAAGAAAAAAAAAAAGAAGGGCCAGGTGTGATGGCTCATACCTGTAATCCCAGCACTTTGGGAGGCTGAAGCAGGCGGATCACAAGGTCAGGAGCTCGAGACCAGTCTGGCCAATATGGTGAAACCCCATCTCTACTAAAAATATAAAAAATTAGCTGGGTGTGGTGCCACACGCCTGTAGTCCCAGCAGGAGGATAAGGCAGGAGAATCGCTTGAACCCGGGAGGCGGCAGAGGTTGCAGTGAGCTGAGATCATGCCACTGCACTCCAGCCTGGCGACAGTGAGACTCTGTCTCAAAAAAAGAAAGAAAGAATGAGAGAGAGAGAGAGAAAGAGAGAGAGACAGACAGAGAGAGAGAGAGAGAGAGAGAGAGAGAGAGAGAGAGAGAGAATGAATATTAGGGTAAATGTCCAATATCAAGAATGGAAATGAGGGAGTGAGGGATGAATTAGGGTAAATGTCCAGTATCAAGAATGGAAATGATACATCACTACAGATCCTACAGATGGTAAAAAGATAAGACAATATCACGAACAACTTTGTGCCCACAAACTTGAAATTCCCAGAAGAAAAATAATTTATCAAAACTGATACAAGATCCCAGTCTGATTCTCAGGGAGAAAAAACAAAAACTGACACAAAAAATGAAAACCATAAATAGTCCCATAACCAATAAATTCAATCAGTATTGTTTCAACCTGTTCTATTCTAATGTCTTTGAACTGCACAGATTAACATTTTCAAAACATTTGTTTAAACTGACTGAACTTGCTTCCCACTCCTCTCCAGGTCTCTGTGCTTTTATACATTGATTATGCCTTCCAATAGTGCTTGCTAGGGGAAATCCTACTCACCCTTCAAGAATCAGCAAACTTTACATCCACTATGAAGCACACTATGAAGCATTCCCATCTTTCTCCAAAACAGGCCAAGTACCTCTTCTACAGGGCCAAAGCAACCCCATATACTCTCTGACATTGTCACACTGAATGTGTTTTGTTTACATACACCTCTCTCCTCAGATTATGAATTCAAGTACTTGGACTTTGATTTATTTCTCTTGGTGGATGCCCCGTGTTTCACCACACTGCCCAGGCTGGTCTCAAACTCCTGACCTCAGGTGATCCAACTGTTTCAGCCTCCCAAAGTGCTAGGGTTACAGGCATGAGCCACTGTGCCCGGCCTGTGGTTTTTAAAATGCTCCTCAGTCTTACCTATAAATGTTATTGCATCCATCCTTTTTAAACCAGGGGAAAAAGGTTTCCTACTATCACTTACCAAAGAGATGTGAAACTAGTCAGTATGGGTGAATGATGTTTCTTGGAGATTTTATGAGGTTCCACGCTGCATGATTTACCATGTGATGAGCACACTGCTTGACAAGCCTTGATAGAGCTACAAAAACAGTTCAGTACTCCGTTACTGAAAGGATCTTGGATTTAAAAGACATCATAAGGTTGCAGAAAGAATAAGTACACTAGAACCACTACAACCTACATCTGATGTTGGATATGTTATTTAACCTACCTGATTAAAGTGAGAAAACTGCAGAATATAAGGATTATCACCCTTCCCCCACTCCCTTCTTTACTGCCATGGTGGCAGGTTACATAGCAGACAACCATCATCTCCGCAGGTGATCAATAACCAACAGCTAATAAGGTAGGTTGTCCTAAAACTGACAAAAATAGAATAGGCTGGAAGTAAGGGCAGTAAAAACTGGTTGCCTTTCAATTCTGAAGATATTATGTGAATGCCTATGTCAGTCACTGATTCTTGGGATTTATCATTTTTGTGTGTGTAACAGGGTCTTGCTCTGTCACCCAGGGTGGGTGACTGCAGCCTTGACCTCCCAGGCTCAAGCAATCCTCCTCCTTCAGCTTCCTTAGTAGCTGGGACCATAGGCATACACTACTGTCCCCTGCTAATTAAATTTTTTCTTTTTTTTCTTTCTTTCTTTTGTTTTTTTTTCTGAGATGTCTTTTGTTTTTGTTCTGAGGTCTTGTTATGTTACCCAGGCTGGTCTGGAAGTCCTAAGCTCAAGCAATCCTCCTACCTTGGCCTCCCAACGTGCTGGGATTATAGGCATGAGCCACCATGCCCAGCCAGATTTATCACTGTTAAACCAGCAAGTCCATGACCTAAGTAATGTCTTTCTCATTTTACAGAAGGCAAAACTGCATAACCTTCCCAATGTCAGAGGTAGTGATTGGAAAACATTCGTCTAGATTCACAGCCTATTCTTCTGTTCTACAGCAAGGGACTGTAAACTGGTGACCACAAACACAGCCAACCCCCATACCCATGGTTTCAGTTACCCGCAGTCAACTGCAGTCTGAAAATATTAAATGGAAAATTCCAGAAATAAATAAGTCATAAGTTTTATTTTCCATGTTTGTTTTTAGAGACGAGGATTCACTCAGTCACCCAGGCTGGAGTGCAGTGGTGCAACCGTAGCTCACTGTAGCAGCCTCTACCTCCCATCTCAGCCTCCCTTGTAGCTGGGACCACGGGCATGCACCACCACTCCTGGCTATTTTTTTTTTTTTTTTGTAAAGAAGGTTTCTCACTATGTTGCCCGGGCTAGTCTTGAACTCCTGGGCTCAAGCAATCCTCCCGCCTTACCCTCCCAAAGTGCTGGGATTACAGGCATGAGCCATTGCACCCAGCCATGTTTTAAATTGTACATGGTTCTGAGTAATGTGATGAAATCTTGCACCATCTAGTACCATCCAGCCCTGGATGTGAATCATCCCTTTGTCCAGCTGTATATGCCACCTGCTCATTAGTCACTTGGTAGCCTTCTTGGTTACTTGAATGTTGCAGTATTGCAGTGCTTGTCTTCAAGTTACCCTTATTTTACTTAAGAAATGCCCCAAAGTGCAAGAGTAGCGATGCTGAGAATCTGGAAATGCCAATGTGAAGCTGTAAAGTGCTTCCTTTAAGTAAAAAGGTAAAAGTTCTTGACTTAATATGGAAAAAAAAATCATATGTGGAAATTGCTAAGATCTATGGTAAGAACAAATCTTCTATCAGTGATAATGTGAAGAGGGAAAAATAAATTCACATTTGTTTTGCTGTTGTACCTCAAACTGCAAAAGTTATGACCGCAGTATGTGATAAATGCTTAGTTAAAATGGAAAAGGCATTAAATTTGTGGGTAGAAGACATCAACAGAAAACTGTGTTCCAACTGATGATAATCAGGTTTGGTATTATCTGTGGTTTCAGGCATCCACTGGGGATCTTGGAATATATTTCCCACAGATGGCTGGGAACAGGACTACTCTGTGTGTATATCTCCTATTTGGCTCACATATTACTTTTAAAAATTGAGATAAAATCCATGTAACATAAAACTCATCATTTTAGGGTACAATCAGTACCCTAAAATGGTGTGTTTTCGTATATTCACAATGCTGTGGAACCATCACCACTATCTGATTCCAGAACACTTCATCGCCCCAAAAAGAAACCCAGTACCTCAGAGGATTAACTCCCAATAGCCTCTTCCTACAATCCTCTGGCAACCAATAATCTGCTTTCTGTCTTCATGTATTTGCCTATTATGGACATTTCACATAAATGGAATCATGCAATATGTGGCCTCTTCCACTTAGCAAAATGTCTACAAGTTTATCCACGTTGTTGCAAGTATCAGTAATTCATTTCCTTTTACAGCTGAATTCACTGTATAAATACATCACATTCTGGTTGTCCATTCACTGACAGATATTTGGACTGTCTCCACTTTTTGGCTACTATGAAATAATGTCGCTAGGTGCATATGTGTACAAGTTTTTCACTTTTTTTCCTTTTTTTTTTTTTTTTTAGAGTCAGGACCTTGCTCTGTCACCCAGGCTGGAGTGCAATGGCATGATCATAGTTCACTTCACTGCAGCCTCACACTCCTGAGCTCAAGTGATCCTCCTACCTCAGTCTTCCAAGTAGCTGGGACTATGGGTGTGCGCCACCACGCCCAGTTAATTTTCTGCATTTTTAGTAGAGACAGGGTTTCGCCATGTTGCCCAGGCTGGTCTCGAACTCCTGGATTCAAGCGATCATCCCATCTTAGCCTTCCAAAGTGTTGGGACTACAGTATGAGCCACAGTGCCCAGCCTTCACACTGTTTTTAAAAAGTAAATCAGGGGCCAGGCATAGTGGCTCACACCTGTAACCCCACCAGTTTGGGAGGCTGAGGCAGGCGGATTACCTGAGGTCAGGAGTTCATGACAGCCTTGGCCAACATGATGAAACCCCATTTGTACTAAAAATACAAAATTAGCCAGGTGTGGTGGTGGGCACCTGTAATCTCAGCTACTTGGGAGCCTGAGACAGGAGAATCACTTGAACCTGGGAGGCAGAGGTTACAGTGAGCTGAGATCGCGCCATTGCACTCCAGCCTGGGTGAAAAGAGTGAAATTCCGTCTCAAAAAACAAAAGAAAAGGTATTAAGGTGAATTATGTATTAAAATTTTTCACAATTAATATTTTTCAAAGTGACAGTTACCAAAATTAAAAAAAAATTTAACTTTCTATTTCTTAAAAGAAATAAAGCAGGAGGGAGGGCAGGTAGGTCTGTCTGTCTGGTAACAATGACTCTTCATTCCTGCACTGACAAAAACCTGCTGGATATGCTAAGCTGTGACTGTCCAACAACTGGCTCTTTTAACAGACACCCAATGGAGATACCACACGTAAACCTGGACAACTCTTCATTTACCTTATTGACTCGACTCCTGAAGGCATTTGAGCAATCAATCCCTGGTTTATACTAAATATATAAATTTACAAATAATAAGATGGGGGAACTCTTATTTAGACTACACAAATTTTGGAACTGAAAATGCAGCTCAACAATGAGATCAGTGGCCATGAACTCTCTGGTAAATGTATATAAAGCAGCATGTACATGTACATTTTTTTTTGAAGAAAAAAATTATTACAGGCTCAGGAAATCTGTAAACTCCAGCAAAATTAATAATTCCTGAGTTAGACAAACAGAAACTCATCTAAGAAGGCTAACTTGGTGATTTACATAAATATTAAAAAATTAAACTGCTCAAACTAAGTATATGCCATTCTTTCCTGAAGGAAGACAAGAAGACAATGTATCCTAGGCTTCAGAGTATGAGACCCAAGCTTGATGAATGATTAACAAAATGTCAGCCTCAGAAAAGATACAGTAGCATTCAGAGTTAGTCAGGTAGAGATAACAGTTTTACAAAAGGGAACTTTACTTCTGCCTCACATTACTGCTTAGAAAATAAGAACTTGAATTTCTTCACTACTGTCCAACCTTAAATTGTTCACAGTCTTGTATTTTAAAGCATATCCTTTGAATCATGTGTCCAAAGAGAATTACTTGTGGGTCAGAGAGGTACCTTAAAATGGCTTTAAAAACTTAAAACCAAGATTATTTTCAGATTGTTTACCCCCTTGAATCTTAAAACTGTTCAGATATCCAATTACTGAGCTTTCTAAATTAGTGCTCCCAGTTTTTCTAAACTTTTAACTTTTTTTTTTTTTGAGATGGAGTCTCGCTCTGTCGCCAGGCCTGGAGTGCAGTGGCACGCTCTCGGCTTACTGCAACCTCCGCCTCCTGGGTTCAAGCGATTCCCCCGCCTCAGCCTCCTGAGTATCTGGACTACAGGCAAGCGCCACCATGCCCGGCTAATTTTTTTTTTTTTTTTTTTTTGTATTTTAGTAGAGACAGGGTTTCACCATGTTGGCCAGGATGGTCTTGAACTCCTGATCTTGTGATCTGCCCGCCTCGGCCTCCCAAAGTGCTGGGATTACAGGTGTGAGCCACTGCTCCCAGTCTTTTTTACAGTCAAGACAGAAAATAATATTTGTATGGCACAATGGGGTAAATGATCAAGACTGCTCTGGATCTGAGGTCATTAGTTTGGATGCTGTATCCAAACTATATTCTGCATGAATGGCCAGAGGTGTGAGGGGACCAGTATCTCAACACATCTGTAACGCACCCTAACACAATACACTGGTTGAGAAATTCTAGTTTAAATAACTTGTGGAGATCACGACCTGAATAGTCAAAATCCATGCAGCAGGTTGAGAAAACTATTTCACAATTCCTCTTATTTCAAGAGATACGCAATCACCTTTTGCAGCTTTCAAGTATAGACCAGATGTACTAACAGGCAACCATTTCGTCTGGAAGATCATCTATTTGGAGGTCACTGACACAAAAAAACAAAAACAACAAAGACAAAACAAGCCTCCTTACCCTAGCTCAGAAGGATAAGCCAAAAGAAAACAGGTTAACGGTAAAAATGTATGATTAAATGAAGTTATTGTTTTTTTTCCTCCACTTCATATTGATTCTCTTTTCCCATGTCAATTTAAGGTGGTAACCATGGCCAACAACATTCTCTCTCACCTATCATACTAATGCCATATAAGTAGTAGTGTTTTTGTTTTTTCAAGTGGGGAAATATATACAGCTCAAAAAAACAAAAAAATATCTAGCAACTAACTCCTTGGCAGTTCCCTTGACTCTCTGACCTTTAAGTCCCAAGGTTCTAAGTATACAATGAATAAGAAAACTACCTGTTCAAACCCAACAGAATATGTTTTTTTCTGGTTTGATTAAGGCTTCGAATTTGGAACATAAATACTCTCAGTAATACTTAGTAATTCATGAAGTTACTGCTTGTGTAAACTTGCAGAATATTTAACTTTAGGAGATTATAAATCCTAACATGCCCCTAGGGGCCTTCTGCTTTTATTCCTACATACAAAACATACAACATGTTTGTTTTTAAAAACAATGCACATAGGCCAGGTGTGGTGGCACACACCTGTAGTCCCAGCTACTTGGGAGGCTGAGGCAGAAGCATCACTTGAACCCAGGAGGCAGAGGTTGCAATGAGCCGAGATCATGTCACTGCACTCCAGCCTGGGTGACAGAGCGAGACGCTGTCTCAAAATAAATACATACATACATACAAAAAAATTAAACCAATACACGGAAGTATTACTTCCATAAAACAAACCAGGAAGTACAGTAAAACAGAAAACATTAGCATTTGGGCCTTTTGTGTGAATTACATTTCTCCACCTTCAACCCAGAAAAGGGATCTGAGTGTCAATGTGACATAAATGACATAGCAACAGTGTGAGGTCTCCCAATGAAGGGAGGTATTAGAAGAAAATCCAAGCAGTTTGATTTGGATTAATAGTTCTACCCCAAACACCTAAGAGAAATCGGAATTCCAGTACTGTCTCTTACAATATAGTCATCATCTATACACCTTTTTACCACGCCATATAAGCAAAATAAAGTCACAATGTGAAACTTTACTCCACTGGCTATTACCCTCTGGAACCAAAAGATGGAAAACTTCATTTGGGATATACAGTAATCTAAAGAAAAATTCAGCACTTATGAATGTAATAACTACTGTTACCATTTGAATGCCTCTTACAAACCAGGCACAGTATCAGATGCATATTCTGATTTTAGAAATAAACAGATTCAGAGGTTAAATAATCTGCCAAAAACAACAGGATTACTAAGTGGTGGAAGCCAGATCTGTTTAGGATCCAAAGCCTAAATAGGTTCTTTTCACTAAATTTAATACTATTTCCTTAGTTCTCCAAACTGATTTATTAACAGCCTATCCAAAACACTATAATAAAATGAACTGCTTTAAATTTGGAGGCAAGGTAGGGGTGGGATACTGAGTTTCAATAATCAGGTTTCTTCATTATTCTTTTACCTGAATGGGCTGGCCACCAGGCCACAATTGTATAAAAATCAGATTTTAAATGATGGAAAAGCTTTTCTGTGTGGCTACTGAAGGGAGAAAGGAAGACAACTGAGACATGCCCCACCTTGCTGGCTGGGGGCTGGTGACATCTGTGGGCCTCAGTGTTGGACTCCAGATGCAACAAAGCCTAAAGTTTTGAATATGTATGAAGGTCAATGTGATGTTTTCCAAAAACAGTCATAAAAGATGGCTGTGAAAAACCCCCTAGTATAACAACTGTATGTAACAAGAGCATATAGGTAGCTGCAGATGAATGCTCAGGTCCTTAGCTGTGGTGTTTAAAAATTCTTCAGACCAGGCTGGGTGCAGTGGCTCACACCTGCAATCCCAGCACTTTGGGAGGCCGAGATGGGTGGATTGCCTGAGCTCAGGTGTTAGAGACCAGCCTGGGAAACACAGTGAAACCCCATCTCTACTAAAATACAAAAAAAAAAAAAAGCCAGGCGTGGCAGCGTGCGCCTGTAGTCCCAGCTACTTGGGAGGCTGAGGCAGGAGAATTGCTTGAACCCGGGAGGTGGAGGTTGCAGTGAGCCAAGGTCGTGCCACTGCACTCCAGCCTGGCAACAGAGTGAGATGCTATCTCCCAAAAAAAAAAAAAAAAAAAAAAAAAAAAAAAATTTCTTCGGACCAGTGTGGTGGCTCATGAGTGTAATCTCAGCACTTTGGGAGGCTGAGTTAAGAGGACTGCTTGAGCCCAGGAGTTTGAGACCAGCCTGGGCAACATGGTGAGACCTTGTCTCTACAAAAAAAATTAACAACTACCCACAAAGAAAACCCTAGCTCAAGATGGCTTCACTGGAAGGAAAAATGAACTGGTCAGGAAGACAGACAAATAGAAGCAAATAATGAAAGCATTTTATTTGACATTGATAACCTTCTCACAATAAATTATGTGGCAAAATACATGCTTGAATACTTAATTGCTAGGCAATAGTCTATTTTCATTTTTTCACAAAAGGTAGACAACTCCAAAGCAGATGGCCATTTGTAGCCATTCTATATAATCATAAATACACAAAACACTGGCCGGGCGCGGTGGCTCACGCCTGTAACCCCAGCACTTTGGGAGGCTGAGGCGGGTGGATCACCTGAGGTCAGGAGTTTGAGGCCAGCGTGGCCAACATGGCGACACCCCGCCTCTACTAAAAATACAAAAATTAGCCCGGTGGGGTGGCATGCACCTGTAATCCCAGTTACTTAGGAGGCTGAGAGAGGAGAATCACTTGAACCCAGGAGGCAGAGATTGCGCCACTGCACTCCAGCTTGGGCGACAGAGCAAGACTCCATCTCAAAAAAAAAAAAAAAAAAAGTTTTAAAGTGCCGATAAATACAAGTTCCTGGTCTGCCTACAGTTTATCACTTAATAATACAAAGCAAACAAGAAAGCAAGTTAGTGGATTACCTGAGAGAGCAAGACATAGAGAAGATGTTAATGCAGGGAGCTGGCCTTCTCCAAACATATCCCTAACACACAATATTCAAGCAATTCCCAAACTGTGATCAGAGAACCACTGGGAGTAAGACCTCTGATCTATATTTACAAGTCTATAGGTGAGCAAAGGTAGACCTTTTCCTGAGTCTGAGATGGGAATATTACCTTCTCTATCTAGAAGCAAAAGAATCCTAGACTCACCAGGACTAGGTAATAGACACTGTACACGAGTAATTGAGGTAATCTACACTGGGCGTGACTTACATACTGATCCACCCCTAGGCAGCAATTCATACCTCACCCACCCAACAGGCTACATTAGAAACAAGGAAGTACAGGTCAAAAGTCTCATTAAAAAAATAAGAACTCTTGGCAGCAGAAAATGAAAATAAAGAATGAAGAATGACAGCACTGGCAATAAACACATTCTTTTCTCCGAAAGGGAAGGGAAAGAACTAATGTTGGGCACCCACATGCCAGACATTTTATCAATTTTCTCCTTTAATCCTCAATAATCCTGAGATAATACTAGCTAGTACTCTAGTTATTAATCCTCACAAAAATCCTGAGGTAGGTACTACTAATTCCCATGTTACAGGTGAAGAAACCAAAAGTTAGTAAGTTGCCCAAGGTAGTTGTTATCCGAACTGTAGAGACAAGAACTCCCAGACTTGAAGAGGTTAAGTAAACTTCCCCAAACTCAAAGTGGGAGTTCTTTCCCACTAACCTATTGCCTTCCCCTCCCTACCCGCAATCTCAATTAATTCTCTATTCTACCCCCTTCTCATTTCTGCAGCTGTTTCAAAAACTACACCTAAGATACAAAGCAAATAGGAGTTATTATAAGAAAACACCTCCAAAATCTACTAAGTTGTGGTATGATATGCCTGTTATCAGAAAACGTCACTCAATTTTGAGCTTGGAGGGCAGTGACAGTTTGGAGATCTTTAGCACAACGCCTGCCAGAAACGTGGCAGGCGCTCAGGATCTGCTGAATGAACAACATCTTCTGAGTGGTTATGAATTCAATAACCCAAAATGACCATCTCGTATTTCTGGATATGACATGATACCATTTTTTGGAAAATAATTTACCCATTCATTTTAAACAGGGTAGCTTTCTTAAAATTTATAGAACATTGATGAGATAGCTAAACTGAGAAATGCCCATTAAAGCATTAGTCATAACTTCAGGAAAATTTCAAATGTTCACTTTTCCAAGCAAATTAAAATGTTTCAGCTAATAAAAACCTGTCAGAAAAACCCACAAGACAAGAAAGTATAAAAAGAAAAGAGCAGCCAATATAAGGGCATTTAAGATGTCACACATAAAAAATTATAAAACATTAATCTAACTTGTACCTTGGTATTTAACCCTAAAACTGTCACCTCAGATAACACAATATTTTCTATGCAAGAAAACATTATCACCACGAATGTAAAGAAGCTTGCCGACCATAGCAACTGTTGCTACGTAGGGTTTTTTAATGTCTAAGACTGAAAGACAGAATTTGTAGAAACCAGTTAAAATGCCACTCTTAGCAGTATCTTGTGATACTGTGAATGCTTTCACCTTAAACTTTTTAAAAGACTCAATCTTTGACTTCTACATGTGAAAAAAAAAAAGTACATCTGGGAGCACTCAACGTAAGAAAACTACCAATTGTCTATAACCCAATGAAAATACATCCTTTGTTACAATGACAGCAGCTACTTTTCCTTAATAATCCTAGAGGAATTTCTTCATTTGAAAAGCTGGCTGGCCTAGATTTCTCTATAAACTAAATGACATGCTACTTTCGAAATTATCCATTTCAGAAGTTCAAAGAAATTCAGGTATAAGAACACATTAATACTCTCATGAAACAAACCTTATCCAGGTTACCCACGAATTGTGACAGATCAAAACCCAGTTTCTCATTTCAAATCAAGTATCACATTATTTATTACCTTAAAATACTAAGCCCTTACCTAATTCAATGGCAAATCATATTGGTTTTCAGTTTCTGAACTTGTACAAATCATACTGTAATATTTATGCAAAAGTTGTCATATAGTTGAATATTATAGACAGTTAACATCTTTTTTTTTTTTTTTTGAGACGGAGTCTTGCTCTGTCCCCCAGGCTGGAGTGCAGTGGCGTGATCTTGACTCACTGCAACCAACCTCCGTCTCCCAGGTTCAAGTGATTCTCAGCCTCCTGAGTAGCTGGGACCACAGGCACGCACCTCCACACTCAGCTAATTTTAGTAGAGATGGGGTTTTACCATGTTGGCCAGGCTGGTCTTGTCCTGACCTCAAGTCATCTGCCCACCTCGGCCTCTCAAAGAACTGGGATTACAGGTGTGAGCCACCATGCCCGGCCAACAGTAGAAAAGGGTACTCAGGGAACATAGTTCAAAAGTCATGATTCTCTATTGGCTGGACCAGGATTCTAGACTAGCTCTAGGGCTGAGATATCTTAGTAGACCAGTTAACATTCATGTGGCCCAATTTCCCTTACTCTAAACCCAAAGTCAAACATAACCTCTAAAGTCTTTCATACCCTGAAATGCTAATCTTGTAATCATCTTTCTATTCAGGTAATAACTCAAAAGAAATGGTCTCACTTCCTTCATCCTCTGACTAAAGTTTAGTTAGTCCATATTTTATGAATCCAATTAATAGGATACTTTAAAGAACAAAAAGAAAAGACTTTTCTTAAAAGCTAGAAACTCCATTCTGTAGTGATGATTCCCAGATCTGACTCTTAAACTCAACAACCTCAACAGACAATGACAGGGAGAAAAGATCTTACAAGTTTGAGCTGAGCTGGGGTGGGGTGGGAGGTGTGAGAGAACAGAGAGACAGTTACAAATTCACAAAAATGTATCACCCATTTCCATCTCCTCTAAAAAAATATGAAATAAGCCTTAAAAGGCTGTCATAGAAACCCATTATTAAGCCAATAAAAACTAATGAAGAAATTATGTCATTTATCCAAGATATGGAAGAACCACCTATTTACAGAAATCCTACCAATGTCCTAGACCTTCAGAAACTACATCTCACTAAGCTGACCATCAAGCCCCTTCAAACTGCATCTAAGGACAATAATAATATTCAAACATCAAGAAACAGGCACAGGTTCCACTCAACACCATTATTCCGTGGAGTCTTCCAGGACTAAATTGTTTTATAGAATCTTTGCTATCTTTGTTCTCTAGAAAATGATATCCCAAAGACTCTAAAATAAAACCAGCAAAACCCCTGTATTTGTTTTCCATTGTGTCATAACAAATTATCACAAACAAAACAACACAAATGGATTATCTTACAGAAGTCAGTGGGCTTGACTGGGTCTCACAAGGGCTAAATGAGGGTATCCAGTGGGTGGGTTCCCTGCTGGAAACTCTGGGGAAAATTTGCTTCCACATTCATTCAAGCTATTGGCTGAATTTAGTTCCTTGCAGCTGTAGGACTGAGTTCCCACTTCCTTGCTGGTTGTCAGCTGGGACTGGCCTTTCCTACTAGAGGCTGCCTGCATTCCCCGTCTCACACTTTCAATCTGGTCCCCTCCAGTAACGGCAGGCTGAGTCCTTCTCATGCTTCAAATTTGACTTCCCCTTCTGCCTCATCTCTGACACCAGCCAGAAAAAGTTCTCTGCTTTTAAGTGCTTATGTGAGTAGAATAAACCCACCCAGAAAATCCAAGATAATCTACCTAAGATCCTTAACTTTAATTAAATCTACTTAACATATTCATGTTCCAGGGTTTATAGTATGGAAATCGTAGGGGAGCCATTCTGCTTACCGCAGTCTGCCTTCTGGTTTCCAAGGATTCATCTCTCTCTCAAATGCAAAATACATCCATCCCATCCCAAGGTCCCAAAGGTTTCCCATCTAAAGCTTATCATTTCAGAAGTCCCAAATCTCATTCATCTATTCAGGTGTGGATGAGGTTCTGGGGACAAAACAGTAAGTCCAATTCCTGGGGCACAATTCCTAAAGAAACAAGTTCTCTACTCCCAACATACCACTGTGAGACATGTAGAGAATAACAGTTAGACATTCCAGTTCAAATGGGCAAAATGTAAAAGAAAACAGAGCCTCCGGTCCAAAGCAGTTTCAAAATCTAGGGAATCTCCATTCCATTTCAAAGCCTGGGAAAAATCCTCTCCAGCTTTTAGCTCCACCCCTCTGGGCTCTCCTATCTCCGTCTGAGTCACCCTGATTCTTTTATGAAAAGCAACACATTCACATGTGAGTAGTTTTATCAGCCTGCTTCCTATCAGTAGAATTTGGGGGGTCCAACAGCCCTATTACTTTCTGTCTCTTTCAATCCAAACTAGAACTGTTTATGTTGGCATAAAATTCTCAAGAACCTAATGGGCTGTGGAAGTATTCCACATGGGTCCACTCCATTAAAGTTCACATTCACAAATAAACCAGGCTGCACATTTAATACTTTGCTTGGAAATCTCAGCTAAATATACAAGTTCATCACTTGCAAATTTGGCTTTCCATATAACCATAGGATACAATTCTGCTAAACTTAGTTGCTACTATGTAACAAGGATCCCCTTTCTGCCAGTTTCCAATAAGAAAGACCTCACTTCTGTCTGGGCCCTCACTAGCAGAGTCATTAACATCCATATTGCTACTAAAAGTATGTCCTAGGCCTTTTCTTTTTTGACAGGGTCTCACTCTGCCACCCAGGCTGGAGTGCAGTGGTGCCATTACCGCTCACTGCAGCCTTGACTTCCTGGGCTCAAGCGATCCTCCTGTGTTCCAGGCCTTTTCTATCATGCCCCTCAAAACAATTCTAACCTTTATCTACTGCCACTTTCATTTTTAGGTAATAGTACCCCACTCCTGGTACCAAAATCTATACTAGTGTTCTACTGCTGCCATAACAAATTACCACAAATGTAGTAGCTAAAAATAACACAAATTTGTTATCTCACAGTTATTGTAGGTCAGAAGTTGGGTGGGCTTGGCTAGCTAGGTCTTTTGCTTAGGGTCTCACGAGGCCAAAAATCAAGGTGTCTCAAGGTTGCATTCCTTGGTGGAAACTGGGAAATTCACTTCCAAGCTCAATCAGGTTGTTGACCAAATTCAGGTTCCTTCTGGTTGCACAACTGAGGTCCCCATTTCTTTCTGGTTGTCAGCCAGGGACTGGTCTTTGCCACTAGAGGCTGCCCACATTCCTTCTGATAAACTTTCCATGTGGTCCTCTCTAGCAAAGGCAAATGGAGTCCTTCTCATGCTTCAAATCTCTGATTTCCTTTTCTGCCCATTTCTCTGATCCCAGTTGGAGAAAGTTCTCTGCTTTTAAGGACTTAAGTGACTAGATTCGGCCCACCCAGAAAATCCAGGATAATTTTTCTATTTTAAGATTCTTAACCTTAATTACACCTGCCAAGTTCCTTTTGCCATGTAACACAGGATAGCTACAGATTCTGGGGATCAAGGTATGGCACCTTGGGAAGAGGGAGATGTAATTCTGCCTACTACAAATCCAAGTCCTATGGAAGGGTTTAAACTCACTTCCTAAAGAAAATCATCCCTTTCTTTAACAGAGTGTGAAGTAAAGATGTATATATTTTACTTATGTGAAGTAAAGTATATATACATACATACATATGTCTTTACTTATGTGACACAAAGATGTATGTTCAGAGATAGAGACAATAGTAAAAACAAGGACTCACTCTGGATGAGTGAGTAGGAAAAGGACGCGCAGTATGGAAAAGGAGTTGCCACCTGTTTCATCCTCAAATTGCAAGGCACTTCACCCATAACTACTTAGAAACTAACCCATGCTCCTCCTTAAATGTGTATTTCTCTTCTCTGTATTCCACAAAGGAGTACATAACTAGGCTTTTTTTTATTTTTAAAGAAAAGTCACCTCACGGGGACCTAACTGTATAATCAGTTGATTAATCAATCTAAGCAAATTTCCAATCTTGCATTCTTTCTTCAAGTCATACACCCTCCCGCAATAGCAAACCAAAGCCAAGTATTTCAAAGTCACAGAAGGACAAAAACATGCCCTGCTAAGACTGCAGGTGAACTTTTGAGAATACCACGGAGGAGAACTAGTATTGGTACTGGACTTTCAGCCCCAGGTCCACCAAGCCAGTAAAGCCAAATGACTTACAACAAAACCCTACAACAACTACAAAGATACTACTCTAAAGCCCTGTCTACAGTCAAATTCTTGACTATAAATTTTACTTAGAACAGAAGAGCCCCAAATATACCAGCTAGTCCCTTTACAGTGACAGGTAAAAGCTACTTACTACACTTACTACCTGCCAGACACTGTAGTAAGCACTTGACACAAATTGTCTTATTTACTCTTCTCCGTAAACTCACAAGCTAGAAAATACCATCATCCCCCTTTTACAGACGGGAAAACTGAGGCTTAGAGAGTTTAGGTCACACAGCTAAGTAGCAATGGCCCTGATATTTGAGAACCTAGGCAGTCTGGTTTTTAACCACTGGGCCTACACTGCACTCCTCAGATGGAATGAAGTCTCCAATTCTTGGAAAAATCTTCCCTTCTTAGTTTTCTTTTTTCTTTTTGAGGCGGAGTCTCGCTCTGTCGCCCAGGCTGGAGTGCAGTGGCGGATCTCAGCTCACTGCCACCTCCGCCTCCCAGGTTCAAGCGATTCTCCTGCCTTAGCCTCCCGAGTAGCTGGGATTACAGGCGCGCGCCACCAAGCCCGGCTGATATTTGCATTTTTAGTACAGACGGGGTTTCACCGTGTTGGTCAGGCTGGTCTCGAACTCCTGACCTCGTGATCCACCCGCCTCGGCCTCCCAGAGTGCTGGGATTACAGGCGTGAGCCACACGCCCGGCCTCTCTTCTTAGTTTTCATTTCCTCTCCCCATGTCCCATTCTCGTAGAATTAAACAGCTGAAAAGTAATCAAGTCTTCCCAAATAATTTGCCACCTTCTTTTCAAAACTCTTTCCTCCACACAAAGCAATAGCCAAGATGCAACTTCTCCTGACCCTGACTCTGCTTCCCCAAAACAAACTACAGAAGCTCCACCCATCACCTGCTTAATCTAGCAATGTTCCAACACTGCAAAAAACACACAACGAAAAACAAAATTGAAAAGTCCTACTCTTTCAAAAGGTCACCAACATATGTATACCCTTAGCCAAGCTTTCTCTCCATACCTCTTTTTCTATCCAGGCTCCTAACTAGTCCTTAACTCCAACTCCAGACGTTCTGCCCCACGTCTTGGTCCCTTCCCCCTTTCGCCCCAGCAACCCCGCCTGGGGTTCTCTCCACCTCGCACCCACTCTGCAGGTGGGAAGCTCAGCCCCGCCCAGAGGGACCCTAAGAAGGCCCCTACTCCAGCTGCCCAGTTTCGCGGGAGGGTTCACTGCACACTACCCAGCAGGCACCACTCCCTCCGCACCCTCCCCCAGCACCCCCCTGCGGCCCCACCCCTCAAGTTCCCTTCCCCCTCTGACGACCCCCTCCTCCAAGTTGTCCCCTAGTCCCCACCCAGTTCAGTCCTCTCCTCTGCAATAAGCTGGACTCCGGCAGCCGGTTCCCACCCTCACATCGGCCTCTGCCCCCAAACCTCGCCCTCCGCCCTGAGGGGTGGCCCCTGGGCCTCCCCGATGGGCTGCAGGGGCCTCGCTTGGTTTATGTGTGAAGGTGGGGGCAGGGGAAGGCGACGGGCCGCTCAGGAGTCTGCTGGAAGCGTGAGGGTCGGCCGCGCTCCGCTGCCCTATCCTGGGCCCACCCCACCCGCCAACGACCTCGCCTGGCTGCTCCCTAGGTACCTGTGGTGGAAGCGGCAGCGGCGGCGGCCGCTCTCCCCTCTGCTCACACAGACAATATGGCGGCGATGGAGGAGGAGACACACGGCTCGGCCGCCAGCCGCAGGGACCAGAGCGAGGCTGCAGCCGCTGCTGCCGGAAGCGGAAACCCCCTCCTACCAGGAGGCGGGGCGAGACAGCTTCCGACTCCGCCCCCAGAGGAATCTCTCTGAATGCGGCCATGCTGGGATGTCCTATTGTAACCTTAGGGATTCAGTTCTGGCCTAGGGTGCAAAATGGAAGGAATCCCCAACGCAAAGCAGAATAAGGAGACTTGCAATAGTTAAGCGCATTTTATTTCAATAGTGTTAACAAGTGACAACAGAGAGAACACGAACCTCCCATTAGGTGAACAGTTGGTTTGACCCAAGTTAAGATGGCGGTACCCAGGTTTCCCACACTTCACCCAGCTGGCCCCCCTTTCTTGAAAAGAACCATGCGCGACCTGCAGAGCTGTAGAGCCAAGCATTCTGGGAGCTGAAGTCTCTTTTGCTCTGACCCCTCGTTTTAAATTAGGGTTTCAGCAACACTTTCTATTCAAACTTGGAGTTCGGAAGAAGTGAATGAAAGTTGGACCCTAGGAAGGGCATGGCGCAGGAGTCTGAGAAGTGAGGATACTAGCTCTCAAGAGACCAAGGCCCAATTCCTTCCTCCTACAGGAGTCCTGCCAAGAGCTGTGCGTCCAAAATACAGTGTTTTTTTTTCCTTCTATCTGCCTCCCACCCCTGCTCTCCTTGCCCGAGCTACCTCCCCAAAACAGCCACAAAGCACTTTCTACCATGCAGAGCTCATCATGGTCTCCCTATGGTCAAAAATCTCCCATGGACCTCTTTATGCACCAAAGATAGCCCAAACTCTTCACTTGACATTCAGAGTCCTCCATAATTTGGCCAAACCCTCCTTTCCAGCCTCCTATTCTGCCACTCTCTTCTCAAATTCCGGAAGATTCCACCCACAAGACTGCAAACAATTCCTGGAACTTAGCTGTGTTGCCTCCCTCCCTTTACACTGGCAGTTACTTCTCTTACTGTCACCTCATGGACTGGATAATTTCTGTATGCCGATTGAACTAATTCAGGGATCCTTTCCTCTAGGGGTCTCCTCTCTGTTTAACTCCCTCCAACCCAGACACTATCAGTCAGTAACCTGAGGACCTCAGTCTGTCTCCTCCATCAGACTGGGAGCCCCCAGTGGACAGGGCTCCATCTGATGATCAACCTCTCCTTTGCAGGCCCTGATAAAAGCTGAAGCGTCTAAGAGTTGCTGAAAGGAGTTCAAGTATTAGTCTCACCTCTGGTGGGACAGAGGTGTGAGCACTGGAACGAGGGTGAGGAGGCCAGGTTCTTTCAGTACCAACCATTATCCCTAACTGTCTCAGAATAGCTGGTTGTCTCAGGAATGGGCCTCTCCACCCTCCACAGCCCTGCCTTCACAGTTTGTCAGCTGACTAGCACCTCTGCTCCCAAAGAGGCACCTCTTCCCCATGTGGGGTTAGGGCTGGTGGTGGCTGCAGACTTATAGTGATGGCCTCAGGGAGGTGGCTGTGGCCTTCTCTGGACCTCATCTGCTAGACAGCTTGTGACATCTGATCCCAATTGCCTGGGAACCCACAACAGTTTTTCTCTCAGTGTCCTGTAACTGGGCCTCAATTTCCCCACTTGTGGACTGAGGAGGTTATACAAGATAATCCCAAAGTTTCTGGGAAGCCATCTTCCAGGAAATGATACCCTTCTACCTACCTCTCGAACGTATCTTTTTGGCTCTTGTGGCTTTGTTTTTCCCAACTGTATTCACATTTGTTTAACTCACAACAATTCATCATTTGCTATGAGCCAGACACTGTGCTAGGTACTGGGGATGTGTTATGAGGAAGACATACACCAGTTGCTCACTGGTGGAGCTTACCTTCTAAAGTGAGAAGCAAGTAATGCACAGGTAAACAAATGCATAAACAAAGTAATTTCAGGTAGCAATAAGTGCTACGAAAGGAAAAGATAAGTAGCTGTGAAGTATAGAGCTTTAGCTTGAGTGGTTCAGAAGGTCCCTTTGAGAAGGAAACAGTAAGTGCAAACGTCCCAAGGCAGGAAAGAGCATCACAAGTTTGAAGAAGGAGGCCATGGTGGCTGAAGCACTGCAAATAAAGGGAAGAAGAGGAAGAAATATGGTGGGAGAGGTGGGCAGGGCATTCAGGTCATGATAAGGAAGCTGGGTTTTCATCTGAGTGTAGTGAGGATATTTCCCATTGCTTAGCCTTCATGCCTTTCCAATCTCAGCCTCTCTCACAGCATTAGTTCTTCATTCTTCTTCCTAGTTCTGGCCTCTATCCATGACTTCATTCAGAGGGCTCACCTGGGCACACATATACAACCCTCATACTCATGCAGGACATAATTGAAACCCAACTCCTGCCGTCTACTACGCCAGCCTCATGTAGGTCTCCGGTCTCAAGAGGCTTCCCATCCCAAGTGTTCACCTAGTTGTAGACTTAACATTTATCCTTAACTCTTACTGTCTCTGATCCCCCACATCACACCTCTCAGGCTAGTCTTTCTGCAAACAACAGCAGCAGAAGCAAGAGTTAAGATGTTGAGAGTACTTGCACTGTGCCACACACTGAATGTTCATCATCTCACTTAATCCTCATGTCAACCTGATGAGGTAGAAACCAAAAGTATCTCACCGTACAGATGAGGAGACTCAGGTTCACAGAGATCACAGGCCATGCCCAAGGTCACATGCCGGAGATGGAGCTTGCATTTCAACCTGGGCCATTAGAGTGACTCTCTCTCTCTCTCTCTCTTTTGAGACAGGATCTTGCTCTGTTGTCCAGGCTGGAGTGCAGTGGCATGATCACAGCTCATTATAACCTTGAACTCCTGTGCTTAAGCGATCCTCCCACCTTAGCCTCCTGAGTAGCTAGGACTACAGACATGCACCACCATGCCTGGCTCATTTTTAATTTAGTAGTATTATTATTACTATTATTATTATTGTACAGATGGGGTCTTGCTATGTTGCCAGGGCTGGTCTTGAACTCCTAGGCTCAAGCAGTTCCCCTGCCTTGGCCTCCCAAAGTGCTAGAATTACAGGCAAAAGTTTTAATCATGCACTAAGAACCTAAGTGTATTTGCTTTCTATTGCTGCTTAACAAAATCACCCCACAATATAGTGGCTTAAAACAACAATATTTTATGTTTGTGTGGATTGGCAGTTTGGACATGTCTCAGCCAGGACAGCTCTTTTCTGCTCCAAGTGGTCTTTCCTGGCTTACTCTTACGTTTGCTGTCAGTGAACAGGCCAGCAAACTGGTTAGAACTCCATGGCCTCATTCACATGTCTGGCAGTTGGTTGGGGTTGTTGGCTTGAGTGCCTTGGTTCTCCTCCATGTTGCTTCTTCAGTAAGCTAACTCAGGCTTACTTACATGACGGCCCCCAGAAGAAAGAAAACAAAAGCAGCAAGATCTCTTCAGATCTAGGCTTAGAAATGATATAGCATCATTTTCACTGTATTATATCGATCAAAGGCAGTCATATGGCCAGCTCAGATTCAAGGAGAGTAGAAATAGATTCCATCTCTTCATGAGAAAAACATCAAATCATACTGCAAGGAGTCATGTGTATAAGGAGGGTGGAATTGTTGTGGCCACCTTTGCAAACATTATATCACATAAGTAATCGTAGGCATGGAACTGGTTAAAGAAATTATGGTACAGCCAGACATGGGGCTATTCACAGCAATGAGAACTAACATTTTTGAGCACTTAATATGTGTCAGACACTGTACAAGATGCTTTACATCTATTAACTCATTTAATCCTCACAACAGCTCTCTGTGGCCAGTACATTTTTAATCCCCATTTTAGAGATTAAGAACACCAAGTCTCAGAGAGGTTAAACAACTAGTCCAATGTCACACAGCAAGTGACAAAGCCATTGAAAAGAATGAAGACAGTATTATGTCCTGACATAGAAATCTGGCCCTGACATTCTGTTATACGATACAAAGCAAGAGACAAACAGTAGTTTGATCAGAAAACATTTAAAAAGCACATTTAAATAATTAGGAGATGTGTGTCTTTTTTTTTTCTGAGATGGAGTTTCACTCTTGTTGCCCAGGGTGGAGTCCAATGATGCCATCTTGGCTCACTGCAACCTCCGCCTTCTGGGTTCAAGCGATTCTCCTGCCTCAACCTCCCGAGTAGCTGGGATTACAGGTGCCCACCATGCCCAGCTAATTTTTGTATTTTTAGTAGAGATGGGATTTCACCATGTTGGCCAGGCTGGTCTTGAACTCCTGACCTCAGGTGATTGCCTGTCTTGGCCTCCCAAAGTCCTGGGATTACAGGCATGAGCCACTGCGTTCAGCTGGAGATGTATGTCTTATAAAAATTAGTAGAATAAAAATTTTTATGTCTTATAAAAATTAGTAGGCCGGGCGCGGTGGCTGATGCCTGTAATCCCAGCACTTTGGGAGGCCAAGGCGGGTGGATCACAAGGTCAGGAGATCGAGACCACCCTGGCTAACACGGTGAAAACTTGTCTCTACTAAAAATACAAAAATTAGCCGGGCATGGTGGTGGGTGCCTGTAGTCCCAGCTACTCAGGAGGCTGAGGCAGGAGAATGGCGTGAACCCGGGAGGCAGAGCTTGCAGTGAGCTGAGATTGCACCACTGCACTCCAGCCTGGGCAACAGAGCGCGACTCTGTCTCAAAAAAAATAAATAAATACAATAAATTAGTAGATCTATATGTCTTATAGTTTTAGATAAATTCAGGAAGAATTTACTACAAACTATTAATGGAGCTTATCTTTGAAGAGGAGAAAAGGAGAAAACTTTTATTTAAACACCTCTGTTTGTGTTGCTTGAATATTTTTTTTTTTTTTTTTTTTTTTTTGAGACAGATTCTTGCTCTGTTGCCCAGGCTGAAGTGCAGTGGCAATGGTCACAGCTTGCTGCAGCCTCAACCTCCAGGGCTCAAGTAGTCCTTGCACCTCAGTCTCCCAAGTAGTTGAGACCACAAGTGTGTGCCATCATGCCTGGCTAATTTATTTTTATGTTTTGTAGAGATAGGGTCTCCCCATGCTGGCCATGCTGGTCACAAACTCCTGGGTTCAAGTGATCCTCCCGCCTTGGCCTCGCAAAGTGCTGGAATTACAGGCACAAAGCCTGGCCTTCTTTGAATTTTTTTATAGCAATCATAAATTTTTATTTCAATACCTTATAAAGAAGAAAATGCTTTTAAAATGTCCTTCAACTTGGCTCCCACCTATGTCTTTTTCTATTTGGTTTTATTTTTATTGTTTTTTGTTTTCTTTTTTGATACCACCCCAGCCCAACCCCTTATCAATTCTGACCCGAAGTTTTGTGGCTACCTTGAGGGCCCCTCCTCTCTCCCTCTGTAGTTCATCCTGCCTGCTGCTGGGGGAAAGCTCATTAACCATCATGTTCCATTTTTGTCTAAGAGTTTTCAATGGTATTGCATTGTCTACACAGAAAGTCCAAACCCTTTGGCCTTGTACATTGGGTGTTTGTAAGTTTGACTCCAACTTGGTTGGATTCCAGCTCTGTCACTTACTAGCAGCATATAGTTGGATAAGTTATTAGATCTCTCTGAGCCTCAATTTCCACATCTTTTTTTAAAAAAATGAAAGAAAAGACCAGGTGTGGTGGCTCATGCCTGTAATTCCAGCACTTTGGGAGGCTGAGGTGGGTGGATCACCTGAGGTCAGGAGTTTGAGACCAGCCTGGCCAACACAGAGAAACCCTGTCTCTAGTAAAAATACAAAAATTAGCCGGGCATGGTGGCACATGGCTGTAATCCCAGCTACTCGGGAGGCTGAGGCAGGGAGAATTGCTTGAACCTGGAAAGTGGAGGTTGCAGTGAGCCGAGATTGTGCCACTGCACTCCAGCTGAGTGACAGAGCAAAACTCTGTCTCAAAGGAAAGAAAGAAAGAAATAAAGAAAGAAAGAAAGAAAGAAAGAAAGAAAAAGGAAGAGAGAGAGAGAAAGAAAAAGAGAAAAGAAAGAAAAGGATATAGCATTACATATTTTGTGGCAAATTAGATTACTGTTCAGTGACTGTTCACTTTCTCACCCAGCCAGGGGCAATTAATATTTTCCTGCCCCATTAATATTAGGCTTGGCCATATGGTTTGCTTTGGCTAGTGGAATATACATATCAGTTACAATGTGCAAATTCCAGCCTAGGCCTTAAGAGGTCTCTCTTGTTTTCAATTGGCTGTCTTAGAATTTTCACCTCTTCCTTGAAGGGCGAGCTGTCATTGGTGCCTTACATCTTTTGAAACAGACTTCCAATCAAGGCTGTAGTAGGCAAGTCTGAGATAAGAATAGTTCTTTACTCTTTAGTTTTAGTTTGCATTAATTAAATTATAATTTATAGTTTTTCGTGAACTCCATATTTTTGAATGAGCGGAAGCTAAAGAGGTGGGAAGAGAATGCTCTGTCTCAATTTGGGAAAGCAGTAGCTTCTGTCCAATCCTCCAGCATCAAACAGGCTAGTCCTAGAAGAATAAAGGACACACATAGTAGATCTGAAATTGAGTCAACCCCAGCAGAACCCAGCCAAGATCAGCCAAACCCAAATGACTACATATGAGAGAGGGAGAAATCAATGTTTGCTTCTGTCAGCACAGAGTCTTGGGGCAGTTTGATATGCAACATTATTATAGGAATAGCCAACTAACAGATTCACATCATAGGGCTTTTTTCAGGGTTAAATAAATGAATACAGGAAACGCCTTAAAAATACACTGGCATATAGCAAGGGTGTAATGCATGAGAACTACTATTATTGGGGGTGCAACTGTGAACAAAACAAGCCCCTGTTCTCAAGGATCTTATGTTCTGCGGAGAGATGTATGGAATGGCAGCTGGTGATGAGTGTTATGGAAGAAAATAAAGCAGGGAAGGAGAGGGAGTGCTGAGGTAAAATTTCAAATGTGATCATCAACAAAACTTCAACGGAAGGTGAAACTTGACCAAATCCAAGAGGAAGTGAGGCGGGGAGCCAGAAAGTATGTGGGAGAAGATTGTCCCAAGCAGAGAGAATTCGGATGGGCAAAGACCGTGAAGTAGGCTCATGCCTGGTGAATTTCAGGAATGGTCAGTAGATAGGGCAGCTGAGCCGAGGGAGTGGCTGATCTCGTCTCGGCTCTGCTGGGGTTGACTCAAATTCAGGTCTACTGCATGTGTCTTTTGTTCTTCTGGGACCAGCCTGTTTGATGCAGGAGGTTTGGACAGAAGGGGGACAATGTCTCAGAGGTTCACAAGGTACTGGATTGTGCACAGCCATGTAGGGCTATCGTGAGGACTTGCTTCTGCTCTGAATGAGGTGGGGAGCTATGGGAGGGTTTTGACCAGGTGGAGAGCAGGCTCTGCTATGCATTTTTATAGGATTTGTCCAGCTGCTAAGTGTGGACTAGATGGACCGGGAATGAGGGCTGAAGCAGGGAGAAAAGATAAGAAGCTACTACCACAAGCCAGACAAGAGATGGTGTTGCTTTGAACCAAAGTTGGACTCCGAGGTTCTTTTCAAAGTAAAATCAAAAGAATTTACTGATAGGTGTGGTATGGGGTGTTTGAGGAAAAAAAGAATTGAGGATGACTCCAAGGCTTCTGGCCTGAGGAACTGAAAGAAGGAATTTGCCAGTAACTGAGATGAAGAAGGCTATAGAAGAGAACTTCTTGGGGCAGGGGGAGAAAGAGAGGAGGAATTAGCAGTTCCATTTGCGACTTGTTAAATTTAAGTGAGCTATGAGACTTCCAAGTGCAGATGACTAATCAGAAGTTAGATGTATGAATCTGAGCCCAGGAGAGAGGTCCAAGCTGGAGACGTAATTTTTGGGAGTTACTATGTACTAAATTTTGTCCTCCCCAAATTTATATATTGAAACCCTAACACCCAATGTGACACTATTTGGAGACAGGGTCTTTAAAGGAGGTTAAAAGAGATCATAGAGTGGGCCCTAATTCAACAGGACTATTGTCCTTACAGGAAGATGAGATATCAGAGCTCATTCTCTCCCCATGCAGGTGCTCAGAGGAAATGCTGTGTGAGGACACAGCAAGAAGGCAGCCATTTACAAGCCAGGCAGAGAGCCTTCACCAGAAACCCTCCCTGACAGCACCTTGATCTCAGATTTCCAGCCTCTCAGTGAGAGGCTGAACTGTGAGAAAATAAATTTCTGTTGTTTAATCCTCTCAGTCTGTGGCATTTTGTTATGGTAGTTTGAGCAGACTACTACTGAGTCATCAACAGAGAAATGGTTTTTAAAGCCATGAGGGGCCAGGCATGGTGGCTCACACCTGTAATCCCAGCACTTTGGGAGGCTGAGGTAGGCAGATCACTTGAAGTCAGGAGTCTGAGACCAGCCTGGCCAACATGGTAAAACCCCGTCTCTATTAAAAATACAAAAATTAGCTGGGTGTGGCGGTGTGTGCCTGTAATCCCAGCTACCCAGGAGGCTGAGGCAGGAGAATTGCTTGAACCCGGGAGGCGGAGGTTGCAGTGAGCTGAGATCGAGCCACTGCACTCCAGCCTGGGCGACAAGGAAGAAACTGTCTCAAAAATAAATAAATAAGTAAATAGCCATAAGGCTGGGTGAAATTGCCCAGGGAATGAGTGTAGACAGAGAAGGAGGACCAAGGACTGCGCCCTGGGGCATCCAACAGTAAGAGACAAGCAACCAGCAAAGGAGCCTGAGAAGGAGCAGCCAGTGGGGTAAGTGTCCTGGGGACCAAGTGAAAAACGTGTTTCATGGAAGGAGTGTTGATCCCCTGATCCCCTGTGTCAGATGCTGCTGAGGGGTCAGAAAAGAAAAGAACAAAGAGCTGATTTACAAAGTGGAGGACATTGTTTTGACAGGAGAGAGTGTAGGTAGGTTGGTGGGAACAAAAGTCTGATTGGAGTGGGATTAAGAGAGAATAGGAGAAAATATAAATATAGACATAGAAAGGAAGGAAAAAAGGAAGGAAGGAAGGAAGGAGGGCTCTTTTTTTTTTTTTCTTTTTGAGATGGGTTCTCACTCTGTCGCCCAGGTTGGAGTGCAGTGGTGTGATCTCAGCTCACTGCAACCTCCGCCTCCCAGGTTCAAGCGATTCTCCTGCCTCAGCCTCCCGAGTAGCTGGGATTACAGGTGCGTGCCACCACGTCTGGCTAATTTTTGTATTTTTAGTAGAGATGGGGTTTTGCCATGTTGGCCAGGCTAGTCTCAAACTCCTGACATCAGGTGATCTGCCTGCCTCAGCCTCCCAAAGTGCTGGGATTAGAGGTGTGAGCCACCACACCTGGCCTGGAGAGCTCTTTTTAAGAGTAGAAAGCTGGGCCAGGCGCAGTGGCTCATGCCTGTAATCCCAGCACTTTGGGAGGCCGAGGCAGGCGGATCACCTGAGATCAGGAGTTTGAGACCAGCCGGGCCAACATGGTGAAACCCAGTCTCTACTAAAAATACAAAAAGTTAGCCAGGTGTGGTGGTGCATGCCTGTAATCCCAGCTCCTCAGGAGACTGAGCTAGGACAATTGCTTGAACCTGGGAGGTGGAGGTTGCAGTGAGCTGAGATAGTGCCATTGCACTCCAGCCCGGGCAATGAGAGTGAAACTCTGTCTCAAAAAAAAAAAAAAAAAAAAGTAGGAAGCAAATGACTAAATGTAGAAGAATAGGAGTTGGCAACCACCATAGGAGACAATCATTAATGGACACTGCAGTAGTGGATTAAAGTTTGATGAGAAATAGGGCATTTGCACAGTCTGAGAATATCTCCCCCCAAGATACTTATTAATTACAAAGGGTAAAATAGTAACTTTACATGGAGAAACACAGCCAACACCACTTGACCAAGTGATAAAGTGAACATCACCAGTAGCAGGGCAAATTGACATCATGTGGCTTCCGGGATGATGCACTGAGTGGGACGTCGCGTCACGTCAGTGATATTTCTGCCAAAGAGGCATAATTGACTCATGAGGAAGCATTAGAAAAGCCCAAAGTGGCCAGGCACAGTGACTCACACCTGTAATCCCAGCACTTTGGGAGGCTGAGGTGGGCAGATCACGAGGTCAGGAGTTCGAGACAAGCCTGACCAACATGGTGAAACCCTGTTTCTACTAAAAATACAAAAATTAGCTGGGCATGGTGGCGTGCGCCTGTAGTCCCAACTACTCAGGAGGCTGAGGCAAGAAAATCGCTTGAACCCAGGAGGCAGAGGTTGCAGTGAGCCGAGATTGCACCACTGCACTCTAGCCTGGGCAACAGAGCAAGACTCCGTCTAAAAAAAAAAAAATGTCCAAAGTGAGGATATCTTTGCAAGAGAACCTTACTCTTTAAAAATGTTGAAGTGGTAAAAGACAAAGGAAGACTGAGGAATAGTTTTAGATGAAGGAGAATAAAGTAATTACAACTACTGAATGCAATGTGAGATCCTAGATTAAGAAAAAATCATTTTCACTTACTACAAAATATATTAACTAGATGAGTGGTGAAATTTGAATAAGATCTGTAGATTAGATAATGGTTTTGCATCAGTGTAAAACGTCCCGATTTTGGTTATTATAAGAGAATGTCCTTCCTTTTAGGAAATGTGTACTGGTTTTTAGGCCTGTAACTTACCATAAAAGAGTTCAGGGTTGGAGGAAAGAAAAATAAATGATAAAGCAAAGATGGTAAAATCTGGGTAATGGGTATTTGGCTATTCTGTTTTTGTTTTTGAGACAGGGTCTCACTCTGTTACCCAGGCTGGAGTGCAGTGGTGTGATCATAGCTCACTGCAGCCTCAACCTCCCAGGCTCAAGCAATGCTCCCACCTCAACCTCCTGAGTAGCTGGGACCACAGTTGCGCACCACCACACCTGACTCATTTTTAAATATTTTTTAGAGATGGGGTCTCCCTGTGTTGCCCAGGCTGGTCTCAAATTCTAGGCTCAAGCAATCCTCCCATCTCAGCCTTCCAAAATGCTGAGATTTTAGGTGTTAGCCATTGTGGCTGGTGAGATTTGAGTGTTCTTTGTACTACTTTGTAACTTTTCTGTAAGTGACATTATGTCAAAATAAATTCTAACAAGAGAGAATAGAAGGAAAGGAAGTAGAGACATGGAGGCAGTGAGTCCAGGTAACTTTTTGAGGAGTTTTGCTATAGAACTGAGGACAGGTGGCAGGTGGAGAGCAAAATGGGGTCAAGATAAGTTGTTCAAAGGCAGAAATTGTAGCATGTTTTTATGCTGATGAGAGAGATTCAGTAGATTGGAAAAAAAAGTAATAATGCAGACAGAGAGAGAGAAGAGAGTGGCTAGAATGGTGTCTCTGGAGAGAAGGATGGGATCTAGTATACAAATGGGGGCTTTGACCTTGGAGCACAGATGGCTCATCCATGGTCACAGAAGGGAGGGCAGAGTATTTGGGTACCAGATTGGTAGGTAGGTAGCTGTGCAGTGGAAATGTGTGGAAATGCTTTCTGATTGCTACCATTTTCCCTGTGAAATAGGAAGCAAGGTCCTTGGCTAAGAGTGAGAATGGGGGAGAAGGTGATGGAGGTTTGAAAAGATAGGAAGGAAGTGTGTAGGGAAAATGAATGGATCTACTGTGATTGTCAGGCAGAACAAAAGACACCACTGAAGCTATCATCATTCAAGTAAAGTGAGGCCAGTCTACATGGTGGTGTGTTTTTCTCCAGCCACATTCCACTGCAGGGGGACAAACACAGAGGGATGTGGAGTTGGCACCAACTAACAGGTGTTTAGTCAGAGAGGGTCAGGGGGATCTTGGGAGTATGCAGCACAGTGGGGATAAAGTTATATCATGGCTGTAATCCACAAAGAAGGAAGTGAGGACAAGGAAACACCAAGGTTCAGAGAGGTTTAGTGACTTACCCAAGCTTGCACAGCTAGTGAATAATGAGTTGGTCTCTGCATCCAGGCAGTGTGGCTCAAAGCTTATTCTCTCACCAACCCAGTATACACAGGCTGTCCCCAGGGTGTAGCATAGCATTTGGCACATGTAGCCTCTGCTAACAAGTGAATTAAATTGTACCTGGGGTTCTCTCTGCCTTTCATTCTATGCCTCCGAAGAATACTAAATAAAATAAAATAAAACAACAACAACATAAAAACCTAGCTTCTTCCTTGCCTTCAAGCTGTCTTTGATGTCTTAGTGTGCACGATGAAGGAGATGTACCATCAGTCTCCTTTGGGTGGCCATTGGTTCATGCCTGCAGTCTGGCTTTCAGCAGGTCATTCTCAGCACATACTCTGGGGCAGACACTTTCTCAGGTTCTCAGTACACAGCGGGAAACAAGTCAGTATTCCTGGCCTGGTGGAGCTCAGTCAAGTGGGGAGAAGATAAGCAGACAAATCTAGCATTGCAAACTGGGATTATCGCCAGGAGAGACAAGTGGGCGGGGTATGAGAGTGCATGAGAGTAAAGCCGACCTAGTGGAGGGCGGGAAGAAGAGTTTACCCAAGGAAGGTCAGGAGGGGTGGCCCATGGGGCTGACTGAAGAGGAGAAACAGCATGGGCAAAGGTCCTAAGATAGGAACATGCCTGTTAATGGCATATCAAGGAGGCCAATGTGGTCCAGACGTATATGGAGAGGGTGGAGGGTGGGAGGGAACATAGTGGGAAATGAGATGGGAGAGGTTGGCAGGATCCACTACACCCTGTAGAGGAATCTGATTTAAGAACAATAGGGTTTAAGCAGGGGAATGATTTCGTAAGGTTTTACATTTATCAGCCAGGTGCGGTGGCTCACGCCTGTAGTCCCAGCACTTTGGAAGGCTGAGATGGGCGGATTGCTTGAGCTCAGGAGTTCAACATGGGGAAACCCCATCTGTAAAAAAATATACAAAAATTAGGCTGGGCGTGGTGGCTCATGCCTGTAATCCCAGCACTTTGGGAGGCTGAGGAGGGCAGATTATGAGGTCAGGAGATGGAGACCATCCTGGCTAGTAGTGAAACCCCTGGCTAGATGGTGAAACCCCATCTCTACTAAAAATACAGAAAAATTAGCCGGGCGTGGTGGCAGGCGCCTGTAGTCCCAGCTACTCGGGAGGCTGAGGCAGGAGAATGGTGTGAACTGGGAGATGGAACTTGAAGTGAGCTGAGATCATGCCACTGCACTCCAGCCTGGGTGACAGAGCGAGACTCCGTCTCAAAAAAAAAAAAATATATATATATATATATAAAATACAAAAATTAGCAGGGCGTGGCATCATGCACCTGTATTCCCAGCTACTTGGGGGCTGAGGCAGGAGGATTGCATGAACCCAAGGAGTTGAGGCTGCAGTGAGCCGAGATCACCCCACTGTGCTCTAGCCTCAATGACAAAGTGAGATCCTGTCTCAACAACAACAAAAAAAATTTTTTTTATTTATAAAAGACCTCTTTGGCTGCTGGGCCAGGAGCAGGGAGGACAGGAGGCAGGGGTAGGAGTGGAGGTGTGGGAGGAGAGGAAGCAGGAGAGGAGTGGAGGTGTGGGGGCAGGGGAGGCAGTGGGTGGGCCAGGAGAGAGGTGATGTGGCATGGGCTAAGATGGAAGCAGTGCAGATAAAGAGAGGTGGATTGACTTGGGACATATTTTGGAGCTGGAGTTCACCACAGGGAAACTGAGGCCCAGTGCTTCCAAGGATAGCGCTCCAGCTCTCCCAGCCCAATGGAAGCTTTTAGATACTTCTGCACTGTGGGGGTCACTTGTGGGTGGTTGCATTGGGGGACGAGTGGCCAGGACAGGTGACCTCTGACTTTTGTCTGGTGATGCGTGAGTCTCAGATTGGGCTTTGAAGGAGCCATGGGTACCTTGCTGGGCAGGTGGAGCATGTCCTTAGAGGATCATCCCACCATCCTCACGTAACCCTGCAGGTCTCTTCTCTCTGAGTCATAGTTCTCACACTTGTAACATGAAGAGGGACAGTACCCACTTAGGCGACATCACCCCCTTCTTACAGATGAGACAACTAGGCCAGGTACAGTAGCTCATGCCTGTAATCCCAGCACTGTGGGAGGCTGAGGCAGGCAGATCGCTTGAGCCCACACATTTGAGACCAGCCTGGGCAACATGGCAAAACTCTGAATCTACAGAAAATACAAAGATTAGCTGTGTGTGGTGGCATGCGCCTGTAGTCCCAGCTACTTGGGAGACTGAGGTAGGAGGATCACTTGAGCCCAGGAGGTGGAGGTTACAGTGAGCTGAGATCCACCACTATACTCCAGCCTGGGAGACAGATTGAGACTTTGTCTCAAAAAACAAAAACAAAAACAAAACCACCACCACCACCACAACAAAAAAACCCAAAAGAAAACAGATGAGACAACTGAGCCTCAGTGAAGGGAAGTGGCTCTTTAGGGTCATACAGGAGTAAAGACACAGCCAAGACTAGCACCCAGGCTAGAGCCTGGGCTGTTGACCTTTCTGCTTCATCATTTGCCTCCCATACCTTTCCTGGGCTCGTCAGTCCTGGGGATGCTCAACTCACCCAACACTGTGTTTCAAGCCCAGGGAATCCAGGATCGGTTAGTTCAGTGGTTAGGGGTATGGGCTGCTTGGATTCTATTTCCAGCGCCACCAAGGGGCCTTATTCTGTCTGAACCTTGGTTTTCTCCTCTGCAAAATGGGGCTAACAGTGCATACCCTTGTAGCACTGTTACAAGGTAGGGGAACTGTACAGATGTAATGATTTGTGTATGTGAGTCATTTACAAGCCTTTGGAGTGGCTGGCACCCATCATTGTTTGCTGTTGCTGTGATTATCATGCCATTGGACTGTGGCTTGAAACCCTACAGGCCCAAGGCTCCCTTTAATAGTAGTTATAATGCTTCTTTTCTAAAATAAAATACATGAATAACATAACCTGCTGACGCACATAATTTTTTTTTTTTGAGACCGAGTCTCACTCTGTCATCCAGGCTGGAGTGCAGCGGCACAATCTCGGCTCACTGCAACCTCCGCCTCCTGGGTTCAAGTGATTATCCTGCCTCAGCCTCCCGAATAGGTAAGATTACAGGCGCATGCCACCATGCCCAGCTAATTTTTGTATTTTTAGTAGAGACAGGGTTTCACCATGTTGGCCAGGATGGTCTCGATCTCTTGACCTCGTGATCCTTCCGCCTTGGCCTCCCAAAGTGCTGGGATTACAGGAGTGAGCCACCGCGCCCGGCCATGCATAGTTTTAAACATAAATAATGTCCTAGTTGTAATTTAAAAGAAAATAAAGTGAAAATAATTTAGAATAAATTAATATGTAAATGTTCCAGGACAATGTGTAGAAACCATCACAAAGTAGTTGGGTGGGCTCTGCTCTGGGTGGAATCATTGAGAATCTGCAGGCTGAATTGGTAACGCCGCACTGGCGGCACATGCACTGTGACTGCATGGCTGTGATAGTCTGAAATGTGAGCAGTCTAGGTAAAGTTCTGAACCAAACACAATCCATTCTGTTCCCAATCGCTACAGACTAAATGTTTGTCTCCCCCAAAATCTTACGTCAAAGCCTAATCCCCAGCGTGATGGTATTAGGAGATGGGGCCTTTTGGAGGTGATTAGGTTATGAGTGCAGAGCCCTCATGAGTGGGATTAGTGCCCTTATAAAAGAGGCCCCAGAGAGCTCTGCTGCCCCTTCTACCATGTGAGGACACGGTGAGAAGCCATCTATGAACCAGGAAGCGGTCTTCACCAGACATGGAATCTGCCAGCTCCTGGATGTTGGACTTGCCAGGCTTCGGATCTGTAAGAAATAAATTTCTGTTGCTTATAAGCCACCAGTCTGTGTAATTTGTTACAGTGGCCTGAACTGACTAAGACACCAATTTATGTGAAGGTTGCTTTCCTGGCAGAGTCGCTGTTATTAAAACCAAGCAAACACACATTGTACTGGAAAAGGCAAAACTATAGAGACAATGAAAAGATCAGTGGTTGCCAGGGCTCAGGGGAGGGGAGAGAGGGATGCACAGGTGGAGCACAGGGCATTTTTAGGGCAGGGGACCTCTTCTGTATGATGCTGTAATGGTAGATAAAGGATGTATGTACTTGTCAAAACCCAGCATGGGCCGGGCGCGGTGGCTCACGCCTGTAATCCCAGCACTTTGGGAGGCCGAGGCGGGCGGATTGCCTGAGCTCAGGAGTTTGCAACCAGCCTGGCGCTACAGAAATCCTGCTTCAAATCCAGAAACCCCGTCTCTACTAAAAAACACAGAAAATTAGCTGCGCGTGGCGGCATGTGCCTGTAGTCCCAGCTACTCGGGAGGCTGAGGCAGGAGAATTTCTTGAACCCGGGAGGTGGAGGGTGCAGTGAGCCGAGATCGTGCCACTGCACTCCAGCCTGGGTGACAGAGCGAGACTCTGTCTCAAAAACAAAAAACAAGCAAACAAAAAAACAAAAAAAAACAAAAAATCCCCAGCATGGTAGAACTGTGCAACACAAAGAGTGAACTGTAAGGTAACTGTGGATTTCAGTTAATAATTGTGTGTCAAAATTGGTTTATCAATTGTAACAGATGCACCATGCATTTGCACTAATGCAAAATGTTAATAACAGGAGAAACTGCATGTTTGGAGAAGGAGTACAAGGGAACTGTCTATGATTTCTGTGTCATTTTTCTTTTTCTTTTCTGAGAGAGGGTCTTGCTCTGTCCCCCAGGCTAAAGTACAGTGGCACGATTAGAGTCCACTGCAGCCTCAAACTCCTAGGTTCAAGCAATCCTTTAGCCTCAGCCTCCCAAGTAGCTAGGACCACACACATGTGCCACCATGCTAGGGAAATTAAAAAAAAAAATTGTGGAGACAGGTTCTTGCTATCTTGCTCAGGCTGGTCTCAAACTCTTGGCCTCAAGCAATCTCCCCATCTCGGCCTCCCAAAGCACTGGGATTACAGGCGTGAGCCAGTGTGCCCAGTCTCTGCACAGTTTTGCTCTAAGTCTAAAACTTCTCTAAAAAAGTAGTCTATTAAACATAAAAAACAAAATGAAAACCCCCACACATTGTGTTTATATGTAAAATAGAATTCGGTCCTTGGCTCAGATAATTAAAAACAAGGTTTTTACCTACACTAATTACCAAAGGGAGATTTGAAAATCATGACTTGAGATGCACTGCAGGATGTCTGCACCCTTGCTCCCCTCCTGCATGGCCGGGGCACCCCCTGGTCACTGGGAACTCTCCAACACTCTTGGTGACATTGCCCCCTTGAGGATCTCTGCACTGGATCTTTGCTCCCTCTCCTGCAGAACCCACAACTGCTGACTTACTGATCTTGGGTGATGTCTGATTAAAAAGTCTCCCCAGGCTTAGGAAACTCAAGGTGCCACTGTGGACACAGCTCCCACATTTCAGCTTCCAGAAATCCTGCTTCAAATCCAGATCCCAGCACTCCCTCATTATGTGGACTTGAATGAGTCACATCAATTTATTGAGCTTCAGTTTCCCCATTGATGGGAAAAAGGGTGATTGATAATACCTGCCATACTTTATATTCATAATGAATATAATGAGTATATTCATTAACTCAGTAAATATATATTGAACACCTACTGTCTGTGCTGAGAATTCAACAGCGAGCAGAACAAACATCTCTGCCTTATTGGAGCTTATGGTCTCGTGATGGGGACAGACAAAAATCAAACAAATATATGAGATAATGTCAGTGATAAATAAAAATAAGGCAGAGTCACAGATGGAAAGAGGGTAGGGCAAGGGATCCTTGGTAAGTGTCGTCCTGGATGGCTTCCCAGAGGAGATGGCATTTGAACAGGGCTGGGAATGAAGTGAAGGAACGTGCCACGAAAGTCTCAGGGCGAAGAGGCAACAGCAAACACCAAAACCCTGAGGTGGGAATGTGCTTGGTGAATTCGAGAAACAGCAAGGAGGCCAGTGAGGCCGGTGGGGAGTAAGAGGGAAGAGAAAGTGAGGACAGAGAGATCTGGAGAAGCCAGACTCTGTAAGGAATTGGGGGTTTATCCCAAGTGCAGCAGGGAGAAAACTTGAAGAGTTATTTACTGGGGAAGGCTTCCTGTGTTGTGTGCCCTTGCAGGTGAGAAAAGGTGATGAGCCCACTCTAAAGCCAACTCTATGGCCCATGACCGTGGTCTGGGACACTTTGAGCAGAAAGCGTCCTGTTCTCCTTGGAGTCAAAGGATTGGTGACAGTGTCTGCCATGCTGTAGTTTCCACAAAATACCACCAGGTGACGACTCTGGGTCACGCTTCTAACTTGTGGGTTCTTGATTCCTGGAGGGCTTTTGCTAAAACACAGACTGCTCCTGGCCCCAGCCTTCCAAAGCGCTGGATTACAGGTGTGAGCCACCACACCTGGCCTGACAGCCATGTTTTTAGCTTTTAAAAGCAAAACTTTGGCATTAGCACTATCTCTGTGAGAGGGGCCGATCATTCCTGTTTTCCAGATGGGTCTATGAGGCTCAGAGAGGAGAAATCATTGTCTCCATGAGCAAAAGTGATAAAACTGGCACTCGGCCCCCATGTCTGCCTGACTTCAAGGCCCCCAATCCTTCAGGGATGCCACACCCATGTGCCCAGTGAGGCTCTGGGAATTTTAAAAACTCATCCAATTTAATCCTTACAACTGAACAAATCCCATGCAACGTTAATGTCTCCATTTTAGAGATGAGAAAACTGAGGACTAGAACTGAGAAATAAGTCACCTGATGTCGCTGAGCTGTTCTAAGGCTGACATCATGCATTTTGGAGTCAGAGAGACCTGAATCTCAACTCTAGCTCACACTCTCCCTAGCTATGTTCACCTGATTTCTCTGAGCCACAGTTTAAGATGGGAATAAGAGCCCCTCCTGCTTGGTAGCTGTTGGTAATATTTATGAACAAATCTAGGCCTGGGGCCTCTTAGGCTTACAGTGGCACCAGCCTCTTCTGTTCTGGAATCAGGAGGGAAAGTGATTGACCCGGCATTGGCCATCCCTGGCCTGGCTGGGATCAGAAGGGTCCTGGAAGGATAGGCAGTACCCGGCAAAGACTGGGGAGGGAGCTTGCTTAGCAGAGGTGTGAGGGACCTCACAGGAGTCCCCACAGGGTGTCCAGGTAGGCATAGGTATGGACGGCTGGACAGGGACTCCAGTTGGCCAACCAAGAACAGGGATAGAGCTTGGGCTTTGGGGTCAGGCAGCTTGAAGCTCTGGGTTCCAGCTCCCAGATCTGTAAAGTGGAACAGTAATGACTCTTCCCTGTTTTGGATTATTGAGAGGACCCCGGGGAACAGTGGGCTCAGCTGGAGGGATGACATTCTAAAGTGTTCTCTGGGACCTTAACCCCAGTCTCACAGGAGATGGGCCTTTGACTGTGGCCTTTCTGAAACCTGAGAATGTTAATGGTCACATAACGTTAGTAACAGTGATGGCAGATAACATCTGTCATGGATTAGAGGCCACTGGGAGGTTCTCCCTCACAGTTCTGGGTTCTTTGGATCAGAAACATGGCACAAACACACAGCCAAGGGTGGTTTAGGGCCTTGCAACTTACAAAGTCCTTCCATAGCATTGCACTGCACCCTGTGTTAAGATAAATTCTCCAAGCTTTAAGCACTCTGCTAAGTGCTTGACAGGCCTTATTTTATTCTTCCAAAACACTTTGAAGTGGGTGTTGCCTTGACCCCCATTCTTCAGCTGAGGAAATGGGAGGCATAGTGAGGTCAAGTGACTTGCCTAAGGCTACTCAGCTGGAACGTAGAGCGCCTCATCCCATGCTTGACTCTGAGTAGAGCAAGGGTTGCACAGCAAGTCAGAGGCTGAGAGGGCCTTGGAAGGACCCGAGGCTCCCCTAGCCACTCCTGCCTGGCACCGATTCCTCCAATCCCACCTGGAAGTGGCTGGAAGTGAGAGGGAGAGGCGGTAGGGGTGCTGAGCCTGAAGGGAGGTTTCAGGACTCAGGCTAGGAAGGCAGAGAAGGAGAGGAGGGACGGAAGTGCCCCTTCCCCCTAGAGCCACTGAGGGGAGAGATAAAGGCATGAGGAGATGTAGCTGGGGCCAAGACAAGGAGGAAGAGAAGAGCTCAGGAGCTAGAAGGAACAACTATCTGGGGAGGAAGCCCCGTTCCAAGAGAGAAGGCCAGGGATGGGAAGGGGTGGGCCAGGCCCTTGGGCTGGGGTCCTGGGTCCCAGTTTTAGCAGGTAGCAAGACCCCGAACTGGATAGAGGGTTGCCTTCAGTAGATACCCTATCATTCCTGTGTTATGAGAGGTTGGGGCCACTTGAGGTGAGCCCAGGATTCAGCCTTCGAGGCTCAACACACTTGAGTCCAGCTGAATGACAGAATGAGCCATAGGACACTGTCCCAGGCCTGACTTCCTTCCTTCAACAAATATCTATGGAGGATTCACCAAGGGCCAGGCTGGGCTCCCAGCAGGAAACAAAGTCCCTCTGAAGAGAGACTAACACCTTCGTTAAGGAGCCCCCAATCTCATAGGAGAGATGGACAAAAAGCAGAAAATGAATTGGTATCCAGTATCACTTTTGGCTGTAAAGGTGATCAGGGGAAAATGAATGGATTGGAGTCTACCTATTTTGTGATGGCGGTCAGGGAGGGCCCCTCTGAGAAGGTGTCATCTGCACAGAGGCCTGAAGGAGATGAGGCAGTAGCTATGAATCTGGGGGAAGAGCATTTCAGGCAAGCGCAAAGGCCAGGGCAAAGGCCTTGAGGCAAGAAGATGCTGCTGTGGAGGAAGGAGGGCACCAAGCAAGGAGGCCAGTGTGGCTGCTGGTGAGAGATAAGAGAGTGAAGGAAGATGAGGGTAGAGTCCGGGGGGCAGATCACATAGGGCCTCAAAGGCCACTCTATGGATTTTAGCTGCATCTCATGTGACATGGACATTGAAGGATTTTTATGTGTGTGTGTTTGTTTGTTTGTTTGTTTTTGAGAGGGATTCTCGCTCTGTCACCCAGGCTGGAGTGCAGTGGCACATCTCGGCTCACTGCAACCTCCACCTCCCACATTCAAGCGATTCTCTTGCCTCAGCCTCCCAAGTAGCTGGGATTACAGGTGTGTACCACCACGCTTGGCTAATTTTTGTATTTTTAGTAGAGACAGGGTTTCACCATGTTGGCCAAGCTGGTCTTGAACTCCTGACCTCAACTGATCCACCTGCCTCGGCCTCCCAAAGTGCTGGGACTACAGGTGTAGGCCACTGTGGCCTGTGACATTGGAAGGTTTTGAGCAGAGGTATGTGTTGTGACCTGACTCAGGTTTTACCAGAATCCCCCTGAGAGATGTTCTGGCCACCACTGAAGAAGACTGGAGGGTAGAGCAGGCAAGGGCTGATGCAGGGAGCCCAGTGAGGAGGCTGGTCAATGAGCACAGCAGTTTGGCCAACGATCTGGGGTGCTAAATATCAACAGAAACAAAAATATTTATTGCATGCTTTCTGTGGGTCACAAACTATTCTAAGTGGTTGCTTGACATGGAATGCTTTTAATCTTCAGTACAGATTTTAGGTAGATCATATTTTTGTACATTTATGTCTATTTGTCTCTGGACTGATTTTTTTTTAATTGAGATGAAATTCACATAATATAAATCAACCATTTGAAAGTATACATCTCAGCGGCATTTAGTATATTCACGACATTGTACAGCCACACTTCTGTCTAGTTCCAAAATATTTTCAACACCCCCCCCAAAGAAACTTTGTACCCATCAAAGATAGATGATATTTTTATCCTAATTTTACAGATGAACAAGCAGAGGCGTGGACAAGCAGAGTCACGTGCCCCAGGTCACACAGCCAGGAAATGGAACAAGCTGGCCACAGGTGTTGGGAGGAACATGTTGACAAGCTGCCCAGGATGGCCTGGAGGCCCCTTCGGGGTCCCCCAGGTAATAGCACCAAACTGCCTTTTATTTTTATTTATTTATTTTGAGACAGAATTTTGTTCTTGTCACCCAGGTTGGAGTGCAATAGTGCAATCTTGGCTCACTGCAACCTCCGCCTCCCGGGTTCAAGTGATTCTCCTGCCTCAGCCTCCCAAGTAGCTGGGATTACAGGCATGTGCCACCATGCCTGGCTAATTTTTTGTATTTAGTAAAGACAGGGTTTCATCACGTTGGTCAGGCTGGTCTCGAACTCCTGACCTCAGGTAATCCACCGCCTCTGCCTGCCAAAGTGCTGGGATTACAGGCGTGAACCATCATGTCCAGCCCAAATTGCCTTTTAAGAAGGGCATGTCAGCCGGGCGCGGTGGCTTACACCTGTAATCCCAGCATTTTGGGAGGCTGAGGCGGGCGGATCACCTGACGTGGTGAGTTTGAGACCAGCCTGAACAACATGGAGAAACCCGTCTCTACTGAAAATACAAGATTAGCCGGGCATGGTGGTTTATGCCTGTAATCCCAGCTACTTGGGAGGCTGAGGCAAGAGAATCACTTGAACCTGGGAGGTGGAGGAGGTTGCGGTGAGCCGAGATCACGCCATTGCACTCCAGTCTGGGCAACAAGAGTGAAACAATGTCTCAAAAAAAATAAAAATAAAAATAAAAATAAAAATAAAAAAAAGAAGGACATGTCCTCACTTCTGGGCTTTTGTTTTGTGGAAGGGGTGGGATACATTTGAGGCCAGAAAACAGAAAGCACTGGGAAGGCTGAACAGTGGCCCCTGCACCCTCTCTCAGGATGGTGCACAGAGGAGAATGGGGACTCTGGAGCCAGGCTGTTGAGTTCAATTCCCTTCTCCCACCTTTCTTCCATGTTGTGAAGTTGGGATAATAAGAGCACCAATCTCATCAGTGTTGGGGGAAAGTGAATTTCCCATCAGTAGAGCTCAGCACTGCCCGTAGTATTTGCTCAATCAACAGCAGCCTGCATTCTCTTTGCTGCCCTCTCCACTCCAGGAAATAAGTTAAGCAGGTACCTAAATGCAATCTCAGTGTTGGGCCTCGTAAAACATCTGGGACAAGACATCCTCCATTACCAGAAAAAATGCAGTCATAAAAATCTCAAGGTTGACAGGATAGTGCCCATTTTTATTTATTTATTATTATTATTATTATTTTGAGAGAAAGCCTCACTCTGTGGCCCAGGCTGGAATGCAGTGGCACGATCTTGGCTCACTGCAACCTCCACCTCCCAGGTTCAAGCGATTCTCCTGGCTCAGCCTCCCGAGTAGCTGGGATTACAGGCACCTGCCACCACGCCTGGCTAATTTTTGTATTTTTAGGAGAGACAGGGTTTCACTATGTTGGCCAGGCTGGTCTCGAGCTCCTGACCTCTAGTGATCTGCCCGCCTCGGCCACCCAAAGTGCTGGGATTATAGATGTGAGCCACCGCACCCGGCCCTGATACCCATTTTTAAAAATCACATACAATCAAAATTCAGGATATAATTTACATAAAAACAAAAGCACTCATTTTGTCCATCCCTTGCTTTGGGTTTATCTACCGGTCTTGTTGACTCCATTGCTAATATACATCCAGGTCCCATCCCATCTTCCCAACCTTTCCCAGTCTTTCATCCTTCAGCTGCACCTCTATGGCAAGGAGCCACCTCATGAACATCAGTTTCAGACTTGACAGCTGATGGCCGGGGGTGCACATGGGCTTGTGGAGACACGGTCAGGGAGCCCTGGGTCTACACCTGAGTCTGCCTGGGCCGCTGTCCGTTGTGTAATCTTCATCAGGCCACATCCTCTCTCTGAGTCTCAGTTTTCTTTTCCTTAAATTGGAGATGAAAAAGTCTGTCTCACTTGGCAGTCAAGAAGGTCCAACAGGATAACTTCATCCATGGTGAGAGAGTGGAGGAGAGGCCCCCAGGAGGAGGCAGGGATCTCATTCTGCGGGTACTGTACTTGGTTCTGGGAGTGGGATGGCAGACAAGCGTGTCACTGTCTTTGTTCTCAGAGCTTTGGTTGTGGAACGGGAATGGGAAGGTAAGGGAGGGTACCCCTGGCAGGGGCACAGCATAAACCAGGGTGTGGAGATGGGATGGCGAGGCAGGACTGCCCCAGAACTCTGTCCCCAGGGGCTGGCAGTGCTGAGAGGGACAGAGGGAGAAGCGATTGTTTATTCTCAGCCTCAGGAGGACGCAGGAGAATCTCAGGCATCAAATTTAGTGCAGCACACCTGCCTAGGCAAAACTGGACAGCTCCACCTCAACTTTGTAGAGGGGCAGAGAAAGCTGTGGGGAACCACCTTCCTGCTCTTGTCATGAAGTCCTCCTCAACTGGAAGCCCAAGCTTCAGGCCAGGAACTTCCCCAGCAGAGGCAGCCTTCCCCAGGGGGCCAAGACCTTGGCAGAATGTCTGGGGTGCTCATGGCAGCGCCTCTCACCTGGCCCCTGCCAAATCAGTTTCTGCTTGGCCTCTGCAGGATCTGACCTCGTTGAGTCCCCAGGGCCCAGTTCTCTGCCTCTGAGGCTAAAAGTGAGATCGTTTCCTGGTTGAGGAGTGACTAAAAGACTTCTGTGTGTAGAGACTGGGTTTTGCTGTGTTGGCCAGGCTGGTCTCGAACTCCTGACCCCAAGTGATTCACCTTAAGGTGAATGTGTGGCTGTGTACGCGCACGTGCAGAGCAGAACCATCACTCTGCTTGGGCTAGGCAGCTGGACTAATCGTCCATTTCCCCCCGCCCGGAGGCCTCTTCCAGGCCCCCAGCTGCCCTGATGGGCCAGGTCAGCCCCCCCCACAGGAGCCCCCAGCCGCTCCCCATTCGGCTTTCCTTGTATTGTGCGCTGCCTGGTTTCTCGAGGAAATGGGGCGGCTGCTGGGTGCGGGGGCGGCCGCCAGCAGCCCCACCCCCTTCCCCCCATTGTCACTCCTGGCTTCTGCCCCTAGCCCCTGCTGCTGACACTAAAAATAGACCTGTTCACAGGGAGACGGCCCCACCCCTGAGCGGGGCCCCAGGCTCAGTGTCAGGTTGGGTTTGCCAAGACAGAGCTGCCCTGGGGACTGAGGTGGCTCAGCTGAAAGACCGGGGTCGAAACACGTTAGGGCTGTGTGACCTTAGGTCCCCTTTTCTCCTCTCTGAGCCTCAATTTCCTCACCTTTAAAATGGGGTAAGGCTACCTACCTGCTAAGGTTGCTCTTGACAATGAACAGAAGCTGGGTGAGTCACAAGCGCACTTCGTTCTCGTCCTGCCCGTGGTTTGGTGCTGCCTGAGCGGCTTGAGAACCTGGAGGACAGATGGCATAACACACGCCTTCATCTTCAATCTGCCTTGAATGATTGCCAAGGACTTCCAAATCCCCCTAAACAGAGGAGCTGGAAGAGCCCACTTGGGAATCCAAAAGTGTCCGCAGCTCTGCTGTGTGAGCCCGGGTAGGTGCCTCCTCTCTGGCATCCATGAGCTCACACGTGAAGTATGCAGCCAGGCTGGGACTCGAACCTGTGTCTGCAGCCTCTGAAGACTGTTTTTTCCGCTTTAAGGGGCTGCCTCCATGCTGATGACTCCAAGGACTTCCTGGCTGGGATAACCCTGCCTTTTCGTCTACAAACACATGATTCATGGTGAAGGAAGATGCTGGGCGGTGGGCATGGAAGCCTGAGCTGGGGGCTGGGTAGTTCCCCTTGAGCCCATGCAGATGGGCAGCTGTCCTCAGATGCCACCCGCAGCCATTGGGTTGGGCCCTGCAAAGGAGATACTGGCATGTGTCTGTCTACCAGGCTCTTTTTTGTTGTTGTTCCTTTGTCCTTTTTTTTAAACCATGGAATATTTCAAATATGGGTCTTTCATATACATTCAAAACCTTGAACTCTTAGAATTACTTTTGTCACAGTTGCAATTTTTTTTTAAATTTTTATTTCATTTGTCTATTTATTTTTTGAGACGGAGTCTCGCTCTGTTACCCAGGTTAGAGTGCAGTGACCTGATCTTGGCTCACTGCAACCTTCGCCTCCCAGGTTCAAGCAATTCTCCTGCCTCAGCCTTCCAAGTAGCTGGGATTACAGGCACGCACCACCATGCCCAGCTAATTTTTGTATTTTTAGTAGAGACAGGGTTTTACCATGTTGGCCAGGCTGGTCTTGAACTCCTAACCTCAGGTGATCGGTCCACCTTGGCCTCCCAAAGCGCTGGGATTACAGGTGTGAGCCAGCGTGCCTGGCCTGCAATTTGATATATGTCTATGTAATTACCTATCTCCCATTAATCCTGGGCCCTAGAACAGGGACTGAGACTTTATTATTAATCCATGTATTCCCCCCCAAAACAAATACAGTACTGTTATTCTCCCACACAGACCCTGAGAGCAAGCAGACTTGTCTCTATTGTTTGTGTTTTGGGATTTGTGGGGACACCTTGTGACCCAGTTTTGTTGTAAATCTTGTCCATGGGGTTTTGGTTTTGCTACCTAATTGCTTTGCCAATTTTTATGTGGGGATTTAGAAAGATTTAAAAGCTGAGTTTTCCACTGCAGACATACCCATATTCCCGAATCTTGACTCTTTCTAAATACATATGTACATGAGAAAAAAAAAATCAGCACTCAAGGTATTCAGTGACAGGTTTCTCTCAGAACCTGGAAATGCTGGAAATGACCACTGTTGCTTAGTCGGGGCTCCTTTCTTTCTTTTTTTTTTTTTTTTGAGGCAGAGTCTTGCTCTGTCGCCTAGGCTGGAGCGCAGTGGCGCAATCTTGGCTCACTGCAACCTCTGCCTCCCGGGTTCAAGGAATTCTGCCCAAGCCTCCTGAGTAGCTGGGATTACAGGTGCATGCCATGACTCCCGGCTAATTTTCGTATTTTTAGTAGAGATGGTGTTTCACCATGTTGGCCAGGCTGGTCTCGAACTCCTGACCTAGTGATCTGCCCACCTCGGCCTCCCAAAGTGCTGGGATTACAGGCGTGAGCCACCGCACCCAGCCTGAGGCTCCTTTCTTATATTTTATGTGTATCAAGCAAACTTAGGTACCTGGTCTAGTTCTTACACAAAGAGTGTACTTCCCCACTTAAAAACGGCTACATTGGGCTGGGTGTGGTGGCTCATGCCTGTAATCCCAGCATTTTGGGAGGCTGAGGCGGGTGGATCATTTGAGGTCAGAAGTTCGAGACCAGCCTGGCCAACATGGTGAAACCCTATCTCTACTAAAAATACAAAAACATTAGCCCGGTGTGGTGGCAGATGCCTGTAATCCCAGCTACTCTGGAGGCTGAGGTGAGAGAGTCTCTCGAACCCAGGAAGCGGAGGTTGCAGTAAGCTGAGATCACAGCACTGCACTCCAGCCTGGGTGACAGAGCAAGACTCTATCTCAAATAAATAAATAAATAAATAAATAAATAAATAAAATAAAATGGCTACATTAAAAGTAGGATTTTTAGCTTTTGTTCCATAGACCTCTTCGGCATATGGTGAAGTGGGGATGGACCCCTTCTCAAAATGTGGTTTTTTTTTAATTAGTCTTTTTTTTTTTTTTTTTCAATAGAGGTGGCGTCTGACTATGATGCCTAGCCTGGTCTCCAACTCCTGGGCTCAAGTGATCCTCCTGCCTTAGCCTTCCAGACAGCAGGGATTACAGGCATGAGCTACTGCACCTGGATTTTTTTTTAATGTTTTATAAATGCATAAAATAAAATGCACGATATTACAAAGGAAACCAATTATACTGAAATGCTATTACTGCAATATAAACAAGGGTTTGTGATGCAGTGATGAGGTGAACTTCTTTATTAGTACATTAAATAACAAGATGGGGAAGCAGGTTGCAGGTCACCATGAACGTAAACAATATGTAATGTTATCTGCAACCACTGTGATATGAAATGAAAGTATCTTTGACTTCTGTTGTAACAGTCACTGCTAACCCTACCATGCTTCTTGATCCACATTCATACTTGAAGGAAATGCTGCATTTCAATTAGAGGTTAGTGAATATAAAGTTATTTTTTCCCACCTAAGTTCATGAAGTTTCTGAGTTCTAGATCAGGTAAAGAACCCCTGCTAAAAATTGTGGCTGTCCCTCACTTGATTCAACCAGTCTCTTATTGAAAAGTCACCCCACCTCAGCATTTCTTCAAATCTCATCCTTATGCAGTTGGGGAAACTGAGGCCCAGGCTGGAGAACAAACTTGGGTCATTCTGCCCTGGGGGGATTGCAGAATCCAGTGTCCTGATTCCCGGCTCAGGTTATTTTCCAGCTCCTCCCCTACCAGGCGGGTGGCAGGGACCCCCCCTCGGCCCCACCTCCCTGCTCGCCAGGAGCAGCTGGCGTCCTGTCCCGAGAGTGACCCAGCCCCGCCCCGCCCTCGCCCCACCCTGGCCGGCCAGCTGTGGATGTGACAGGAGGCTTGGCTCTGGCTCACTCCGGCACATTCCTGGCCCAGCCACTGTTTTCCTCTTCTTCTTTTTTTTTTTGGTGGTGACTTTTTCTCCCATACCCCTCCCACTCCTTTTCCTCAAAAATGCTGTGTCTTTCCCCAGAGGGTCCCTCTGGGCGGCTCCGGGAGGGAAATGTGGCCTGGATTTCCTGGAACGCGTGGAGCTGGAGTCTCAGCGCTGGGAGGAGGGAAGCTGTTGGCAGCAGGGCACCCCCCCAACATAACTGGGCCTCCCTGGAGAAAGAGGGTGAGCGGAGCCTCAATATTCCCTTTGCACTGGGCCCTCTGAGCAGTGGCACCCGCAGCTGCAGCGAGTGGGCTGCTGCCTCGGGGATAGTGAGACGCCTCTAGGAAACCGCGGCTCTGTGATCTTGGGGAAGCTGGGCATTCTCTCTGAGCTTGGGTTTCCTTGCTCCTTAGAACTGAGGATGTGATCTGGATCTGCCACAGCTGGTGGGACAGTCCAGTGAGGCGATGGCTGTACATGGTCCCTTTCCAAACAGGGAACAAGAAGCGAGGTGTTGGGGGCATCTGGGGATGCAGGTTTGGGGGCTGCATTTGGGGCAGCAGGGGTGGAACAGAGAATTTCCATCCTTCCTTCTTACCTTCATTCATTCATGAGACAAACGTGTATCAGACAATTACCATTGTGCCTCTCGGGGCTCACAATAAGAGACAAGTAAATGTCTCCTGTAGGGGCAGGTGCAGATGAGTGCTCTAAGAAAAAGTGAAGCAGGGTGCAGGGATAGAGTTTCTGAGGGTGCTGGGGGGAGCTGCTCTGCTGGGGCACCACATGAGCCCAGGCAGAGGGAGCAGTGGGTGCTGAAGGCTCTGAGGTGGGAGCAAGCAAGGAAGGGAAGAGAAGGCAAGGTTTGTGTGGAGTGGGGGAGACAGCAGAGAGGGCTGTGGGGACTTCTGGGTGAGGCGAGGACTTTGGCTCGATTCATGGGAAGCTACGAAGGGCTTTGAGCCTGCAGTGACACAGTCTGTAAAGGACCCACGGGGCTCTACAGGAGGTGCGCACGTGGAGGAGTGACTTGGAGGCCAAGCAGCTGGGGTCCTGGCTTCAGCTCCTCCCTGGCTCTGTGAGCGTGGACAGGATGCTTCTCCTTGAGCCTCATTTTCCTCCTCAGTAGAGTGGGCTCATGGAGCTCTGAAGACTAAGAGGAAGGGTCATCAAAGTGATGACCCTTTGCCATCACTTTGCCTGTGAGCTACAGGTCTCTATAAGTGGGAGCTGTTTTTTTCTATGAGCCTCTGAGGATTGGAGCCACTTGCTTAGGGGGAGGCTTTGGGGACAGAGCCAAAGGCTGGTTCCGAGCCCAGGTAGAGCAGTGGCTGCTCAGATTTTGGGGACATGTGGTGTCATGATCTGGGAGGGGGATATTCTTGAGTTGTCTGCAGCCCTTTTCCCCTTATGGGTACGTGGCTGGATTTAGGGAACCCTAGGGCAAGGGAAGAAGGGCTAGGAGCTGCCCCTGAGATCTGTGAGATGGGAGGTGGCCGGGTGTTCAGAGGTTCTCTGAGGTTGCAGAATGCCCTGTCAACCACTCTCCCATACCCAGAGGGGGCTGGACGCATCCCTCTCTCCCTTGTCCTCAGTCTCGATTTTCTCATCTGTGAGGTGGGCACAACAAGTCCTAATCCTGGCAGTGATAGGAACGTTTGGGGAAGCAGTGATTTGTCATGCATGATGCGGTCGGACAGGACCCTGCCCTTAAGAAGGAGGGAGCCCACCTGCCCAGGCACTGTGCTGAGCTTCTGTGCATTAGCTGAAAGTGGACAGGATGACGTCACTTCACTGGAACTTTCTGTGGCTTCTCTTTGCTCTCCTATGGAGGTTCCATGGGAGGTAGGAGCTGGGGGCTAACCCTGCATACCTTATAAACCTCAACTCTCACATCCTCCTGGCTTTCTGTGTCCAGGTTCACAGGCCTCCTGAATCTCCCTCCTTAATGCCCACGTTGTTCTGGCCTCTGAGACATTGTGTTACTCCCTGAATTCCTTCCTCTTGCCCTAGTAAACTCTCCCTCCCTGCTCAGCTCAGTTTAACTATCTCTTCCTAGAGGAAGCCCACCCTGTCCTGTAGACTAGGCTGAGTCTCACATTGCGGCATCTTAAGGTGCTGCCTCCTCTCCTGGTAACACCTGTCGCTGTTGTAATTTCACAGGTGTTGCTGCAATTACCTGGTTGCTGACTCTCCCCACATTAGGACTGTGTGTTCCATGAGGGCAGGGACGTTTTCTCGATCACAGCCATATCCCCAACAGTAATAGCAAATTGCAGATGCTCAATAAATGCTTTCTGGATAAATGGAGGGGTGAAATCATTTTGACAATCAGAAGAAGAAGGTGCCCCCCTTTTACAGATAAGGAACCAAAGGTACAGAGAGATTAAGTAACATGCCCCGAGGTCACACAGCCAGAATCAGATGGTGTCTGTCTGGGAATGTGTCCCTGCAAGCCAGGCCTAGAAGGTGGGCAGATGGGGTTACGCAGAGAGGAGCTAGGACCATCTGGATAAGGGAGGGTTGTGGGGGCAAGCCCCACCCATCCTTGTTTTCTCCATTCGAATAGTGGTTTGTGGCTGTTTTCCTCAAGGGCGACTCAGGTGACCTTCAGGTTGGGGCCTCCTGGGTCCCAGGGGCCTGCTGGGTGGAGGGCCCGGTCTGGCTGGGCTGCTTTTCTCGCCCCTTTGCCGGCCCGCTGGCTTCACGCACAGATTACAACTTCCCCTCTTCGGCCGTCTTACGCAGGCCACCTCCGGCTCGCCATTGTCTCATTGTTTGCTGAGGGAAGCTCCAGGAGGAAATCAACCTGCTGCTCACCCCAAGCAGGGAGTTTCACCCCCAGCCCCCACCCAGGGAATGCCTGGGGGGAGGGCAGGAGGGGTGGGGGCAGGTAGCAGGCAATGCAACAGGCAGCCTTGAAGGGAGTGAGCTCCCTGGCCGGGAAGTATGCAAGCAGAAGCTACATTCACAGCACCTATTTACTAGGTCCTCTCCCAGGCTGCACGTCAGGCAGCTGGAGACACAGATGCTAGAAAAGGGTCTTGTCCTTAAAGACCCTGTAGCCTAGAAGAGATGCTGGGCAGGGCCTCAAAGCCAAATGCCTTAGGGGCCAGACAGGTGACAGAAATCTGTAGGCCTGCGAGCAATGCTGAGTGGTCGGGACGTTAAATGAAAACTATGGTGCGAAGGAAGGCTTTTAGATTCCAATTTTATTTTAACATGTTGCTAATCAAACAAATGAGTCCTCCAGCCTGATGTAGACTGCGGAACCCCAGCCTAGCCCTTTAGAAAGGAATTCTTGTTCTGGGGTGAAATTGGATCAATAGTTATTGGTGTCTGCCCCTATGCCTTTAGCTATAGCTGTGATGGGCAGTTCCCAGCACACTGACAGCATCCCTTTTCAAACACCCAGCAGTCATTTGGCTTCTCTGAAGACTTGGGAACTCTCTCAGGGACCTGGGAGGAGTTGATGCCACTAGGGGCACCCCTCAGTCAATGGGGAATGGGAGTTAGTGGGTAAATGCCCCATCCTCTTATCCATTGGAAGTTCCTGGTCACTCAAAGGTCTGCAGTGAGTTGGGGGCACTGGTTGCCCATACTGGAAACTGGCTCAATAACTCACTTTTTATCCGTTTCCCCTCTTCGCTGTCACTCTCCCAGATCCCTCTGGCTTCCTGGGCTACCGGCTCCCAAATTCTTGTCTCAGGCTCTGCTTTTAGGGGAACCCAAACTAAAACAGTCTCTAATATTCTTTCCAAATAGCTTATGATTGTACACTTAGGTGATTCTAATATCCAATGACTTTAACTCTGTGATTATAAGTTTTCATAAGTAAACCCAACTGTGATTCCAGAATGATGTCATTCTAATATGGCCGAGATACACCTATCAGAACTGGAATGCTCCATTTTGTACAACTGAATTTTGCTTCTCTTGAGCTCCTATTTTTTTTTTCCGATGCCAGAAAATGCAAACTTCAAAAAAATCTAGACAAAAACCAATTATTTCAGATTTGAACTCAGTTGGGTGAATCAAGCTTTCCCTGGCATCCCTTTTTTCCCGGATTCATTTAAGTCCTGGAAGGGTAGAGGCATCTTGGCATTGGTTGAGGGAAGAAGGGGTCTGTGACTGGTGTTTCTCAAGCTATACCAACCCATCTGGCTCTCCAGCATGCTTCTGCCCCCTTGGCATTCACTGGAGATGACCCACTCATGTTGATGCTTTGATCTCTAGGGTCAAAGAAGCATAGCTTTCTCCTCCTGGACCATACACTGTAAGAGTCACGTCCACTCCATTCAGTCATCTGAAAAGATGTGTTCACTTTTTACACCTCACAAGGCCCTGTATACAAACTCGTCATTCAATCAAATGTACTTGCTGAGTATCCGGCATGTGTTGGCATTGAGCCAGGCACTGAGGATACAAAGATGAAAAGACAGGTCCCTTTCCTCAAGTCATTTGCAAGCCAAATAATGTATAAATATTTTCAACTTACATATTGTGATGTCCATTATGAAGGAACCAAATAGGGTAGGCAGAGAAAGCCTCTTTGAAGAGCTGTCATTGGAGCCAAAGTCTAAAGTCAGGGGAAGCCACAAAAAGGTTTAGCAAGAAAGACATGTCTGATTATATCTGTAACTGTAAAACATTTTCTTTTTCTCTTTCTTTCTTTTATTATTATTTTTTGGAGACAGGGTCTCACTTTGTCACACAGGCCAGAGGGCACTGGTGCGATTTTGGTTCACTGCAGCCTCAACCTACGGGGCTCAAGCGATCTCCTTCCTCAGCCCCCCAAGTAGCTGGGATTCTAGGCACATGCCACCATGCCCAGTTAATTTTTTTGTATTTTTTGTAGAGATAGGGTTTCACCATGTTGCCCAGGCTGGTCTCGAACTCCTGAGCTCAAGTGATATGCCCACCTTGGCCTGCCAAAGCATTAGGATTAGAGGTGTGAGCCATCACGTTTGGCCGGTAACTGTAAAACTTTTTGTAATACTGAAGGCATCTCCTGCATTTTTTCATACATTTTACTTTTCCCCTATTTATTGGTGGCCTCCATCACCTTAGAGATTCACGTCTCAAAGGACAAGAGTCATGGAAATTTAGTCAAAGCCCTGAGTAATTTGAGAGTGTACAATTTATGCCATAAATAATAGATTGAGAAGAATAGATGAGTCAAATTGGTTTTCCTCTTTAGGAAACGAGATAAAGATTATCGGGAGGTGGGGAGAAGGGAAGTGTAGCAGAGATGTCCAGCTGTCATGCAATTACCCGACTTCCCCTTCTTCTATAGCTGCAGATGGCCATGTATCTACACTGCATTTCGCTGTCTCCCTTGCAGTTTAGGCGTGGCCACGTGACCAGGCTCTGGCAAAGGATATGTGAACCGAATGGTGTGTGCAACTTCTGGGTCATGCATTGAAAGAAAAAAAGGGGCATCCTCTTCCCACACCTCTTCTTCCCTTCCTGCCAGCTAGAATTTGGCATGGTGGCAGGAGCAGTAGCAGCCGTCTTAGACCACAAGACTGAAGCCACACGTTGAGGATGTCAGAACAACAAAATGGAAGGATCCCAGGTATCTGACGTCATGGGACTCATAGCGGCCTAGACTGCTTGCCCCCTACTGGTTAGTGAGAGAGAAATCAATAGCTGAGTTAGCATCCCAAGTAATACAGAGGGTCAGAAATATAGGAAATTAGCCTGTTGCTGTGGCTCACGCCTCTAATCCCTGCACTTTGGGAGGCTGAGTTGGGCAGATCACTTGAGGTCAGGTTTTGAGACCAGCCTGGCCAACATGGTGAAACCCTGTCTCTACTAAAAATACAAAAACTAGCTGCGGCATGGTAGGACATGTGCCTGTAATCCCAGCTACTCAGGAGGCTGAGGCTGGAGAATTGCTTGAACCCGGGAGGCAGAGGTTGCAGTGAGCTGAGATTGTGCCACTGCACTCCAGCATGGGTGACAGAGCAAGGCTCTGTCTCAAAAAAAAAAAAAAAAAGAAAGGAAAGAAATATAGGAAATTAGTGTGCATAGACACTGGTGTAACCCTGAAAAAAGAATAGAAACTTCGTGTGGTCTTGAGGGGTCTAAGGTCTGGGCCCAGAGCCTTAATTCTGGGTAGAACCCAAGGAAGCCATGAACCTAACTGCCTGAGTGTGTGTGCAGGCACCTGGAGCAGGACACTTCAGGGGAAGGGAGGTGAACTGAGGGGAAAAAGCAAAAGAAGACACCCAGAATTGACCAAGATTAAGTTTCTCCTACCTAGTGGAATGGAGGCTATTTATTTTGGGTGTGAGCTGAGAGTTGTACCTGCTTCCCATTTTATTATTATTGTATTATTATTCCTGGATCCCAGCCCAGCAGTTAACAGGAACCTGAGTGGAGGCTGAGTTTTATCAATAAATTTTTGCTGAGCACCAAGGCCCAGGCTCAGGTCCCAGCCTAGCTCCCTACTTGCTGGGTGGCCTTGAGCATGTTACTTCTCTTTTCTGAGCCTTGGTGATCTCATTGGGAACATAAAGGGGTTGAACTCCAGGATGCTCAAGGTGGCTCTTTTTGCATTGATGTCCTGTGGTTTTTCTCTGGGTCTGGCAATGAGGGCAGTTCAGGAAAAGTGTGATAAAATAGCTCTACTTTAGTTCATAGAGGGACAAGACACAGTCACATGGGCACACATGTACACACACACACACACACACACACACACACACAAATGTGATTAACCAAACATCATGGTAGCCAAGAAGATATGTAGCATTAAGGTTTAGAATACAGGCTTTGAAGTCAAACAGACCAGAGTTAACAACCTCATTTTGTTTTTATTTTCTTTTTTAAAATTTTTTTAAAATTATACTTTAAGTTCTAGGGTACATGTGCACAACGTGCAGGTTTGTTACATATGTATACATGTGCCATGTTGGTGTGCTGCACCCATTAACTGGACATTTACATTAGGTATATCTGCTAATGCTATCCCTCCCTCCTCCCCTTACCCCACAACAGGCCCCGGTGTGTGATGTTCCCCTTCCTGTGTCCAAGTGTTCTCATTGTTCAGTTCCCACCTATGAGTGAGAACATGCGGTGTTTGGTTTTTTGTCCTTGCGATAGTTTGCTGAGAATGATGGCTTCCAGCTTCATCCATGTCTCTACAAAGGACATGAACACATCCTTTTTTATGGCTGCATAGTATTCCATGGTGTATATGTGCCACATTTTCTTAATCCAGTCTATCAATGATGGACATTTGGGTTGCTTCCAAGTCTTTGCTATTGTGAATAGCGCCGCAATAAACATACATGTGCATGTGTCTTTATAGCAGCATGATTTATAATCCTTTGGGTATATACCCAGTAATGGGATGGCTGGGTCAAATGGTATTTCTAGTTCTAGATCCCTGAGGAATTGCCACACTGTCTTCCACAATGGTTGAACTAGTTTACAGTCCCACCAACAGTGTAAAAGCATTCCTTTCTCCACATCCTCTCTAGCACCTGTTGTTTCCTGACTTTTTAACGATCGCCATTCTTACTGGTGTGAGATGGTATCTCATTGTGGTTTTGATTTGCATTTCTCTGATGGCCAGTGATGATGAGCATTTTTTCATATGTCTGTTGGCTGCATAAATGTCTTCTTTTGAGAAGTGTCTGTTCATATCCTTCGCCCACTTGTTGATGGGGTTGTTTGTTTTTTTCTTGTAAATTTGTTTGAGTTCTTTGTAGATTCTGGATATTAGCCCTTTGTCAGATGAGTAGATTGCAAAAATTTTCTCCCATTCTGTAGGTTGCCTGTTTACTCTGATGGTAGTTTCTTTTGCTGTGCAGAAGCTCTTTAGTTTAATTAGATCCCATTTGTCAATTTTGGCTTTTGTTGCCATTGCTTTTAGTGTTTTAGTCATGAAGTCCTTGCCCATGCCTATGTCCTGAATGGCATTGCCTAGGTTTTCTTCTAGGGTTTTTATGGTTTTAGGTCTAACATTTAAGTCTTTAATCCATCTTGAGTTAATTTTTGTATTAGGTGTAAGGAAGGGATCCAGTTTCAGCTTTCTACATATGGCTAGCCAGTTTTCCCAGCACCATTTGCTAAATAGGGAATCCTTTCCCCATTTCTTGTTTTTGTCAGGTTTGTCAAAGATCAGGTGGAGCAACCCCATTTTCATCACTAACTAGCTGGTGACCTTGGATAAGTCACTTTATTTCTCTGAGTCTTGGGTTTCTCCCATTTAAAAGGAGGATGATAATACCTATATTTAGGGCTTTCATGTAATAAAATAAGGTAATTTATGTGCAGCTCCAAGATCACGCTGGGCACGTTACAGATACTCAGTAAATGGTGGTTATTCTGATGAGGATTGTGAGCCATGGTGAGAATCAAGTGAAAGGTGGAGAAGGGCAGAGCTGGTGGGTCTTGAGTATGGACTAGGAAGATCCATGAAGTCCAGGGTGTAGGGAGGCTCTTGGAGAAGGCAGGACATGAGCAGTGCAGGGATGTGTAAAAGCGTGACCAGATGGGATGAAATACCCTTTTAGGAGAAGGAGAAAATAGACCCAGAAGCGAGGTAGAGCCAGGCTTGAGAAAATTACTTCCTCTTTCTGAGCCTTATTTTTCCTCTTGGTAAAGCGAGTGTAACAATATCTGCCTTGCAATGTTGTTATAGCGATTATTGAGATGTTAGAAGTCAAGCTCCCATTAAGATGCCTGGCTCATGTAAGGCATCAAATATTAGTTTCATTCCTTTCCCAAGAGAGGGTACTCACAAAATATCATCAGGGCTAGTAACACAGAGGATAAATATTTGAGGGGATGGATACCTCATTCTCCATGATGTGATTATGTCACATTGCATACCTATATCAAAACATCTCATGTACCCCATAAATATATACACCGAATATGTACCCCAAAAATTAAAAATAAACAATTTTTAAAAAAATCCCCCAAAACAAAAACAAATGAACAAACAAAGACAAAATGTCAGGGCTAGAGTGACCCTCAACGCCTTTCTATGGTAACATACACATCTATTCATGAACTGTTCACACATCATTCATCAATCTATACAGCTATCACTTATGCATTTTTCATATATCCATTCAAACACCAACAATTCATTCATCACCCATTGTTCATTCATCTAGCCAAAAGTCCATTCATCCTTCACTCACCATCTATCCTTATCCATCATCATGCATTCATCAGCAACCTTCCATCTGTCTACCTATCATCTATTCTATATTCATCCTTCATCAATCTATTTCATATCCATACACCCATTCAGCCAGCTACTCAAGCAGCCATCATTCTTTCATCTGTCTATCCATTTATCATTTATCCATCATCCACCTATCCACCTGCCATTAGTTAGCCATCACCATCTCTCATGAATTTATTTGTTCCTCAACTATCCATTCTTCATGCATCTATCCATCTATTTATCACTCAATGATCCATCCATCCATTATTTCATTCATCATTTATGCACCCACCATTTTTCACGCATGAAATATTCATCCAAAATCTATTCTTCATTTCTTCATAGCTATCATTTACAAGCCAAACATCAACCCACCAATTTACTCTTCCTCCCTTCCTCTTCCATGCATCATCCATCCTTCATTCACTCTTTCACTAAACATCTGTCATCTATTAGCCATGCCTATCATCATCTATGTATCTTCCATCGACATAACCACCTACGATCTATGTAATTTCATCATCCATCTGTATATGTTTATCCAGTCATTCATTCATTTATGTTTCATCTTCCATATTGCCTGTCAGGTAACATACACCAGAGATACAGACTAAATAAGCTACAACCTGTCCTCCAGTTGTTCAGAGTCTAGTGGAGAAAGATAAATAAGCCTATGATAGCTGCTGTACCAGAGGAATGACTGTACCAAGCACCCCAGGGGAGACCACACAGGAGAGAGCCACAGACTCTGAGGGAACTGGGGAAGGACTCACAAAGGAGGTGGCAGTTCATTAAACTGGGTCTCGAAGAATGATTAGAAGGTCCACTGTTTTTTTTTTTTTTTTTTTTTTTTTGAGACAGAGTCTCACTCTGTCCCCCAGGCTGGAGTGCAGTGGCATGATCGTGGCTCACTGCAACCTCTGCCTTCCAGGTTCAAGCAATTCTCGTGCCTCAGCCTCCCGAGTAGCTAGGACTACAGGTGCCCGCCACCAGGCCTGGCTAATTTTTTGTATTTTTAGTAGAGATGGGGTTTTACCGTGTTGGCCAGGCTGGTCTCGAACTCCTGACCTCAAGTGATCTGCTCCTGACCTCAAGTGATCTGCGCGACTTGGCCTCCCAAAGTGCTGGGATTACAGGCGTGAGTGAGCCACTGTGCCCAGCCCAAAGGTCCCCTGGTATTTTTATGGGGGGAAATGAGTCCTAAGAGGGGAAGTGACTGTGCATAATCATACTAAGAGTTAATTAACAGGACAGAGACTTGTAACCAAGTCTCTAGCCTACTATACTAGTTCTGTTTCCACTTCTTATGGGAAACAGTAAGTTACTCAAGGGAAGACAAGTAAGCAAAGAAAACCTGCCTCGAAGCACCAGAAGGCTGCTGTTTTAGGATCTGGTTGTAGATGGGGTGGAGAAGGGGATTTTCCTAGACCTCAGCTTCTCATTCAGGGAGAGGTAACAGCAGAAGCCCCAGGAATATTTGACAAAGGGCAGGAAAGAAGGAGGAGGAGAGACAGAGCACAGTGAGGTGAGGAGAAAAACAGGTCAGGCACAGTGGGGCTCATACCTGTAATCCCAGTGTTTTGAGAGATCGAGGTGGGAGGATCACTTGAGGCCAGGACTTGGAGACCAGCCTGGGAAACTCCATCTCTACCAAAAAAAATTAACCGGGTGTGGTAGCATGTGCCTGTAGTCCTGGCTGAGGCAGGAGGATCCCCTTGAGCCCAGGAGTTTGAGGCTGGCTGCAGTGAGCTAAGATCGTGCCTCTGCACTCCAGCCTGGGTGACAGAGCGAGCCCCTGCTTCAAAAGGAAATAATATAATAATAAAAAAACCCCACCTACTATTTTCTTGTTACCTTTACTTGGGTAATTAATAATAATATTGTTACTGCTTGGCACGGTGGCTTATGCCAGCAATCCCAGCACTTTGGGAGGCCGAGGTGGGTGGGTCATTTGAGGTCGGGAGTTTGAGACCAGCCTGGCCAACATGGTGAAACCGTCTCTACTAAAAATATGCAAATTAACCAGGTATGGTTACACATGCCTGTAGTCCTAGCTACTTGGGAGGCTGAGGCAGGAGAATCACTTGAATCCAGGAGGTGGAGGTTGCAGCGAGCCGAGATCATGCCATTGCACTCCAGCCTGGGCAACAGAGCGAGAGTCCATGTCAAAAATAAAAATAATAATAATGTTGTTAATATTCTAGCAGCCATGTTTTATTGAGCACAGACTACGTGCTGAACAGTGTGCTATAGATTTTTCATGCATCATACCATTTTATACCTCACCCTCAGCAGCCCCAAGAAGCAGTTATTACTCTTGTCCCCATTTTGTGAATGAGGAAACTAAGTTCCTGAGAAGGTAAGCTAGGATTTAAATATGGTCTGTGTGACTACAAATTCCATGTCCTTTCCACTCCTCTTTGCTGCCTCTCTCATCGTTCTTTGGGTATGGTATATAATAAGTGACTCAGACATACATGTGCATTCACTAAGATATATGCTTCATTTTACTGGAGATTTTCTCTGTATCCTCAGACTCTGAAATAGTGGACATAGTAGGAAAGAAAAAATTTGTTGAATTTTCATAGCTATCATTTACAAGCCAAACATCAACCCACCAAGAAATATCTTCTATTTCTTGTTGAATTATCTTGCAAAGAAAATGGATAATCAATTAGAATATAGGGTATACAGGTTTGTCTATTCTGACACAAGTCCAAAGTTTTTTGTTTTTTTTTTTTGAGATAAGAGTCTTGCTCTGTTGCCCAGGCTGGAGTGAGTGCAATGGCACGATCTTGGCTCACTGCAACCTCCGCCTCCCAGGTTCAAGCGATTCTCCTGCCTCAGCCTCTCAAGTAGCTGGGATTACAGCTGCCTGCCACCATGCCAGCTATTGTTTTTTTGTATTTTTAGTAGAGATGGGGTTTCACCATATTGGCCAGGCTGGTCTCGCACTTCTGACCTCAAGTGATCTGCTTGCCTTGGCCTCCCAAAGTGCTGGGATTACAGACGTGAGCCACCGTGCCTGGGCAAATCTGAAGTATTAATAGCATAAAGATATAATTATTTTTCTCCCAGGTCCAGGAGTAGGCTGGGCATGGTAGCTCATGCCTGTGGTCCCGGCTACACAGGAGGCTGAGGTGGGCGGATTGCTTGAGCTCAGGAGTTCGAGGTTGCAGTGAGCTATGATTGTGCTGCTGCACTCCAGCCTGGGTGACAGAGGGAGATGCTATCTCAAAATAATAATAATAATAATCCAGGACAAGCTTGTTTGGGTCCCAGGCTTCTTCTGTCATGCAGCTCTGCCACCCCCAGGGTGTTGCCCTAGTCCCCGTGGTCTCAGATGCCACCCACATATCTACACCACAGGCAGTAGGCAGTGGAAAAGGCATGAGGCAACTATGACTTGCAGGTTGCTCTCCCCACTTCTGTTCACCTACCACTGGTCAGAATTTAGTCATGTGATAGTAACCAGCTGCAAGGGAGGCTGGGCAATGTAGTCTTTATTCTGAGAGGCTATGTGTTCAGGTAAAAGTGAGAGGTTTTATTTCCACAGGAGAAGGGGAAAATGGGTATGAGGGGCAAGTAGGGGTCTCTGGCGTAGATGAGAAGAAGATGTATGGACACCAATATTCTCTATCATGTGAAGACTCCTAGGGTCACATATCATCTCTCCCATTAGACAGCAAGCTCCCTGAGGGCAGGGGGCTAGATTAATCACCCTGGTGTCCCTGAAAGCTTCTAGCTCAGACTTAAGGAAGAAGACTTTTTCAGTCCCGGATAGAGGTCTAATGATCTGATGGAACCAGAGCAAGTAGGTTAGAGGCCTTTTGCCTGGTGACGACCAAAGTGGAGAGGCCAGGCGTCTGGGAGGCGGCCAGCAACAGTAGAGAGAGACGCAGGAAAGCGACTTGCAAGGGGGCTGGAGTGGGTGAAAGGTCAGAGGAGAGTCTGGAAAGGAGGATGCAGTGTTGCAGGGCGGGCAGAGCTGGGGGAAGGAGGGGATAATTTAGTAATCACAGCTCTTCCCTCAATAGAATGCTCAAGGGCTCACAAAGCATCTTGGCCTCCATGTTCTCACTGGTGAGGATAGATGGTACATGAAGTTAGGTGGCAGATGGGGGGGTGCTTCGGATTGCCACCAGCCCATTCCTATCTAGAGAACTGTCACTGGTTTCCTTCTTCGTTTCCCATGTGCTTCCTTTCTCCTTCCCTGTCTCCCTTCCTTCTTCCTTCCTTGATTTCTCTCTTCTTCCTCTGTATGTGTGGATATACACATGTATAACACACACACACACATAGACATACATATATATGTATATCTGAATGTATGTCTCTGTATGTACAGATATACACATATACATATATGTATATGTGCATACACATATGTGATGACCAAAGTGGAGAGGGCTAAAAGATGAGGCCAGGTGTCTGGGAGGCAGCCAGCAACAGTAGAGAGAGACGCAGGAAAGCGACTTGCAAGGGGACTGGAATGGGTGAAAGGTCAGAAAAGAAGTGTGTATATGTGTGTATGTATATGTGTGTATATGTATATGTACATATATGTGTGTACATATGTATGTGTGTGTGTGTGTGTGTGTATGTATAATCACCTACTATGTGCCAGGAGGTATTGTGAAAGTTATTGAGAAACACACTGGTGAGCAAACCAGACAAGATCCTTGCCCTCATGGAGCTTATGCTTAAGAGAGAGAGATATTACACAAATAAATGCACAAATAGCTCCATAACCGTTAAATGTGACCAACGACTAGCGCTATGCAGAAGTGCAGAATGCTGTGAGAGCATATTCGTTGTGTATTCCAGCATTTATTAAACAAATATTTAATAAAGCAAATTATATGTATTAGAGATTTGCTTTTTTTTTTTTTTTTTTTTGAGATGGAGTCTTGCTCTGTTGCCCAGGCTGGAGTGCAGTGGCACGATCTTGGCTCACTGCAACCTCTGCTGCCCAGGTTCAAGCGATTCTCCTGCCTCAGCCTCCCGAGTACCTGGGATTACAGGTATGTGCCACCACGTCTGGCTAATTCTTGTTTTTTAGTAGAGACGGGGTTTCAGCATCTTGGCCAGGCTGGTCTTGAACTCCTGACTTCGTGATCCACCTGTCTTGGCCTCCCAAAGTGCTGGGATTATAGGCATGAGCCACTGCGCCTGGCCTAGAGATAATTTTTAGAAAGGAATAAAATCACGCTCTTGTTCAAATATAAAATGAACATGTGTCAAAGATTTTATTTAACTCATTAATTTATGAGGTAACCAATAAGGTGTTAAAAAATAGTTCAAAGGAGAATCCAAAGAGAAGAGGCATACATAGGTAATGAGGATTGCTTACATTAATTTGCTAAAGATGCAAAACTGTTTTCTTCCAAGAGTACTGGGGGGAATGAATTGCATCTTTATTATTATTATTTTGAGACAGGGTCTCTCTCTGTTGCCAAAGGGCTAGAATGCAGTGGTATGATCATGGCTCACTGCAGCCTCAACCTCCTGGGCTCAAGCGATCCTCCCACCTCAGCCTCCTGAGTAGTTGGGACTATAGACAAGTGATATGTGACACCTTGCTAGCTAATTTTTAAATAATTTTTTGTAGAGATGGGGTTTCTCTCTGTTGCCCAGGCTGGTCTCAAACTCCTGGGCTCAAGTGTTCCTGCCACAGGCTCCCAAAGTGCTGGGATTACAGGCGCGAGCCACCGCATCTGGCCTCAACTGCATCTTGAGCAGAAGAAATTTGTTTGCATCTCTGTGACGAGAATTGTTTTTATTATCATCAATCTTGTTACAACATATTGAAGTGTACGCTAGCTCAAAAATGTGAAATGCGTCGGCAACCATAGAATCAGCTAACCTGAAATGATGTAAAGACAATTCATACCATTCTGGAGGACTTCCAGTAATCTTTGTGGACTTTTTTTTTTCAGCTTCAAAGTATTTTACAGTTTTTCCTGATGTGAGTCAGATCGGTACTAGATACTAATAATACAGAGGTAAACCATACAGACACAATTTCTCCCTCAAGGACAATATTCCCTTATGTTCTAACTGGGGTGGAGAGCCGGGGAACAGTTTTTGGAAGCCAAACTGAGTCTTTGCCATTTATACAGTCATATGTTAATTAACAACAGGAATATGTTCTGAGAAATGTGTCGTCAGGTGATTTCATTCTTGTGCAAACGTAGAATGTACTGTCACAATTCTAGATGGTACAACCTACTAGGCACCTAGTCTCTATTCTATAACCTATTTCTTCTAGGTTACAAATTTGTACCTCATGTTACTGTACTGAATATTGTAGGCAATTGTAACACAATGGTAAGTATTTTTGTATCTAAGCATAGATAAATATAGAAAAGATACAGAAAAAATATGTAGAAAAGATTTTTTTTAAAAAAGACACACTTGTATCTTTACTGTGAATGGAGCTTGCAGGACTGGAAGTTACTCTTGGTGAGTTAGGAAGTGGTGACTGGATGTGAAAGTCTAGGACATTACTGCACACTACTGTAGACTTTATAAACACTGTACACTTAGGCTATACTAAATTTATTTTTAAAATTTGTTTCTTTCTTCAATAGTTAACTTTAGCTTACTGTAACTGTTTTGTTCTATAAACAAAAAAATTTTAAAAACACTTTTTGTATTATTTTGTAATAACACTTAGCTTAAAATAGGAACACATTGTACAGCTGTATAAAAACATTTTCTTTCTTTATATCCTTATTCTATAAGCCTTTTTCTACTTTTAAATGTTTTTTCCTTAAATTTTGTTGTTGTTGTTGTTAAAAACTAAGACACAAACACACACATTAGCTTCAGCCTACACAAGGTCAGGATCATCAATATCACTGTCTTCCACCTCCACGTTTCGTTCCACTGGAAGGTTTTCAGGGCAGTAACACCTGTGGGGCTATCATATCCTGTGACAACAATACCTTCTTTTGAATACCTCCTGAAAAACCTACCTGAGGCTGTTTTACAGTTAACTTATTTTTTTTTAATAAGTAGAAGGAGCACACTGTAAAATAACAATTAAAAAGTATAGTAAACATGTAAATCAATAAGTTGTTTATTGTCATTATCAAGTATTATGTACTGAACATTTTTTTTTTTTTTTTTTGAGATGGAGTTTCGCTCTGGTTGCCCAGGCTGGAGTGCAATGGCACAATCTTGGCTCACTGCAACTTCTGTCTCCCAGGTTCAAGCGATTCTTCCGCCTCAGCCTCCGGAGTAGCTGGGATTACAGGCATGCACCACCACGCCGGGCTAATTTTGTATTTTTAGTAGAGATGGGCACACCAACTAAAGAACATCAAAGCCCAGAGCGAGAACCTTCCTCCCTTTCCCATTTTCCTTCAACTTGTTATTAAGGAGAAAGTCTCTGTTCAATGCTGGTGTGTTTTTAACACCTCTCTTAACACTTACTTCCCTTTTTAACAGAGAATAGGCCTCCAGAGCCTTTGGCAGGCCACCGGATCTGGCTAGAATGTGATGACATTGTTTTGTTTTCATTGTACTTATTTTTATGGCTACCTTCTATTTATGGCACGAGATACTGGTTTTCCATTTAGGGAGGGCCCTAAACTTTCCTTTTGACATAATATATTTATGTTTTTAGAAGAAGGACCATTTAAAGAAAAAATATTATGTAATATTAATTACATAATATTTGCAGCACAGGTGGTACTGAGACAGGGAAAAAATTATAAAGAGGTATGTAATGTGCTGAAAAGGAGGACATGCTTCTCAGGCTAATGCCTCTCCCAGCCCCTACTTAACAGAAGGGACCACTGAGGCACAGAGAGGAGAAGGGACTTTGTCAAGGTCACACTGATGATGTGGACTAAGAACTGACAGCCTCTTGATAGCCCTGTGGTGGGGGATATCTTGTGTCAGATGGGGAGGGCAGAGGTCAGGGACTGTGTGCAGCCCCATTGGTCAGTCCAGTGCACTGATCCGCTAGTCAGACAGAGTCCTCCAAGGTTGACCAAGTCATGGACTGAAGGCAAAAAGGACCGGGGGACCTGGAGGGGAGGAGAGAAGAATGCTGGTGTTTATCACGCACTAACTATGCTAGATGCTCGGGTGCCGGACGTCACCCCTAGGGAATTCACAAATTTGGGGGCAGACACGTCCTACAAAAATAACTCAAGTTTCTGGCGAAAGTGTGGTAAGTGTTCCAGCAGAGGCCTCTCTAGTGACATCTAGGTTTTTGTCTGCTCACTGGTCATTTCCCCATATTCTTTTGGGAAACCACCTCTTCACCACTCTTGATTCTTGTAGCTCAGACCAGGCAAACCCCACACCCACTTCAGAGGTGGGCACATGACCAGACCTGGCCAATTAGAACACTTTATCCCTCTTGCCACAGAGACTGGCACATGGTTGGGCGCGTGACCCAAGGCAGGCCAGAGGGGGCCTTCCCCAGGAATTTGCTGGAACTACTGGAGAAAAATCCCACTTCATAGGGTTTTTAAAATGGATACACTGTAAGCCAGAGTTGCTGGCAGCTATCTTTGCCACCAAAAGAGAGAGGTTCTCTGAAAATGAAGCTGACAGGAAAGCAGGGATGACAGATGGAGAGACAGCTAGAGTCCTAATGCTACTGTATGGTCACCTCCTGGACCCAGCCGTGAAATCAGTGACCCTGAACACAGTTCTATTTTGCTTTGTTACCCAGGCTGGAGCTTTTTATTTTTGTAATTAAATTAAATTAAATTAAATTTTAATTTTTAGAGACAAGGTCTCGCTTTATCACCTAGACTGGAGTGCGTGGTGCAATCACAGCTCACTGCAGAATCAGCCTCCTAGGCTCAAGTGATCCTCCTGCCTCAGCCTCCCATGTAGTTGGGACTACAGTTGTGTGCCACCACGTCTGGCTAATTTTTAATTTTTATTATTATTTAATTTAATTTTTAATTTTTATTTTTTGTAGACATGTGGTCTCACTATGTTACCCAGGCTGGTCTTGAACTCCTGGCCTCAAGTGATCCTCCTACCTTTATCTCCCAAAGTTCTGGGATTCCAGGTGTGAGCCATTGTGCCTGGCTCGTTTTTATTTTTATAGAGATGGGGTCTCTCTATGTTGCCCAGGCTTGAACTCGGTTCTAGAAGGCAATAACACACACACACACACACACACACACATACATATTTGCATTAGCCACTTTGAGATGGGTTTCTGTCTCTTAAAACCAAAAAGAGACCTGTCTAATTCCAGGCAGAAACAATATCATGGGAATGTTGGCAAGGGAGAGGGATTGGAGTGTGTGTAAAGATTTATCTGGGAGTCCTTCCTCGTGGAGGTAGGTTTTGAGCAGGGTTTTGAGAAATGGAGAGGATTTTGATATATAAAGAAGGTGAAGAAACAGTATTTCCAGGGAGGGGAACATCCTGGGCAAAGGCTTGGTGGTGGAAGAGGGCAGGGAAGTGGCGCCGTCCAGTGTGATTGGAGAGAGGATGGGGATAGAGAGGAGGTGGGAGAAGAGCTGGCAAGAAGGGATGTGCCCTAATCGTGCAGAGATCCAGTCTGCTCCTTCACCTGCATCCTCCTCCTCTGGAGGCGTGCCCTTCATCAGTTAATTCATCCACAGCCATTTACTGAACACCAGCATGCGTCAGGCACTGTCAAAGGGCTGGCGAGAGAGCTGTGGGCCACACCACCAAGTCCCTGCCCTCTTGTAGCTTCTTTTGTAGGTGAAGGACACAGGTGGTAAACATGAGCAAGAAATAAACAAGTATCATAGTGTCAGGGAGCAGTAACTGTTATCTAGAAAAATTAAGACGAGTAAAGGGAATACAGACTAGTGGAGAGGTGTTTGGGATGAAAACGGATAATACTGATGGTTGACCGACATCGTGAGTGCACTCAATGCCACTGAACTGGTAAAATGGTTAAAATGATAAATTTTACATTAGGTATTTTTCTGTTCTTTATATTATGTACATTTTACCACAATAAAAAACAGGATTGGCAGAGGGGTGCTATTTTAGCTAGGGTGGTCAGGGCATGTCTCTCTAAGGAGGTGTCGTTTGAACAGAATGGAGGGGAATTAGCAAGCCTTGAAGAGATTGGGGGGAAGGTATTCTGGGTGGAGGGAATTGCCAGGACAGATCCTGTGGGGCCAGAGTCGGCCTGGTGTGTTCTAAGGACAGCAAGTGGGCCCCTGTGGCTGGAGCCCAGAGAGCAAAGGGAGAGGGGGAGGAAGATGAGTACAGGGATCAGCAGGGGCTTGTATGCCAGGAGAGAACTTTGGATTTGGTTGTATGAGTGATGGGAAGCCATCGGAGGGCTGAGCAGGGAAGGGATATGAATCAGAGTTTCTGTTCAATTCTCCCTCTGCCCACACTCAGTCCTGCTCTTAATCAGGTTGGTAATCTTGCCTCTGCTTCTGACTATCTCTCTCTCCTGGCTGCTACCCTCTTCTGCACATCTTCATGACCACTATCTTGCTGAGGTCATCTTTTTTTTTTTTTTTTGAGACAGAGTCTCACTCTGTCTCCCAGCTGAAGTGCAGTGGCACAATCTCGGCTCGCTACAGCCTCTGCCTCCTGGGTTCAAGTCATTCTCATGCCTCAGCCTCCCGAGTAGCTGGGATTCAGGCGAGCACCACCATACCCAGTTAATTTTTGTATTTGTAGTAACGATGGGGTTTTGCCATGTTGGCCAGGCTGGTCTTGAACACCTGGCCTCAAGTGATCCACCCACCTTGGCCTCCCAAAGTGCTGGGATTACAGGTGTGAACCACCACACCCAGAGAGGTCATTGTTTTTATATGGCTGACCCAAATGGCCTCCAACTGGCCTCCCTGCCTCCTGCCGACCCAGCCTCCACCAGTCATCAGGGTCTCTTTCTACCCGCAGCTCTGACCAGCCCTTGCCTTGGTGAGAGCCACAGCCTCCCAACTTCCAGTCCAGCCCCATCTATCTTCTTTTCTCCTCACCCCAAAGCCCACACTTAGTCACTCAGAGCCTCCATGGGGTTCCCCTGCTGCCTGCCGTAGGCTTGCCCTCCTCAAGGCTGGTGTATGGCTCTCTGCTCTACTCGGGTTCCTTTTCACCTAGACAGCCCCCTCCCATCCTTCAACAGCCTCCCAGCATCACTCCTCTGTGAAGCCTTCCTTGGCTGTCCCACCCGCAGGCTGGCTTAGCTAGCTCCTCTTCAGTGCTCCCTAAACCACTCACATCTTCCACTTTCAGAGCCCCGAGCATGTGGCATGCAAAGCACATTGGTTTGGTTTGGTTTTGTACAAACCTTTCCCTTTCCTCAGCTCCCTGAACCCCCCAGTTCCCTGTTCATAGTATGTTCGCAACAAATGTTTATTGAATAAATGAATGAGTTTGGAATTTATCTTGCAGAAACAATACTCCCACCACCACTACCAGCACCTCCACCAACGAAAATAATATCCAACCCAAGTTGATGACTTGCTATGCATCGGGCACTGTGCTACACACTTCCAAATCTGGATCTGATTTCTATTTCATAATATTAGGAGGAAATCACTGTGTTAGCCCCACTTTAGAGATGAGAAAACTGAGGCATGGTGAAATTAATCAATTTTCCTAAGGCTACATAACTCAGAAGCAGGAGAGCCGACAGTCCAAAGTGTGCAGCCCAAAGCCGTGGGCACCGCATGCAGCTGGAGGAGGTGTCTTGGCATTACTGCATCCACGGACGGGGTTTCCAGGAGTCCTGGAGTTCCATATGAAGATTGATTGTCCATGAACTTTTTGGGCATGGGGGCAGGTCCATTACTTGTATTTTTTTTTTTTTTGACAGGGTCTTGCTTTGTTACCCAGGCTGGAGTGCAGTGGTATGGTCATAGCTCACTGCAGCCTCCATCTCCTGGGTTCGAGAGATCCTCTCACCTCAGCTTCCCAAGTAGCTGGGACCACAGGCATGCATCACCATGTCTGCATTATATATATATATATATATTTTTTTTTTTTTTTAAGAGATGGTGTCTCCCTGTGTTGTGCAGGCTGGTCTCGAACTCCTGTGCTCAAGTGATCCTCCTGCCTTGGCCTCCCAAAGTGTTGGGAGTACAGGTGTGGGCCATCGTGCCCAGCCGTGATCCATTACTTTTTTTTTTTTTTTTTTTGAGACGGAGTCATGCTCTATCACCCAGGCTGGAGTGTAGTAGTGAGATCTCGGCTCACTGCAACTTCTGCCTCCTGGGTTCAAGCGATTCTTCTGCCTCAGCCTCCTGAGTAGCTGGGATTACAGGTGTGTGCTACCTCGCTTGACTAATTTTTGTTTTTTTAGTAGAGACAGGGTTTCACCATGTTGACCAGGCTGGTCTCGAACTCCTGACCTCAAGTGATCCGCCCACCTCGGCCTCCCAAAGTGCTGAGATTATAGGTGTGGGCCACCGCACCCGGCTGGTCCATTACTTTTACCAGGGTCTTAGAGGGGCTCTTGATAATTCCTATATTTAAGATGCTCCTCTGCACATAAGGGGGAAAGATGGAGAGTTTTCGAGTATTGGACTGTTGCGGTTCAACCTATGCTTTAGAGAGATCACGTTGGCTATCCATTGCAGTGTAATGCAGGGAGAAGAGATTGGAAATATCCCTAAGATTCACCAAGAGTGGATGTGTTAATCATATCATGGTACCTCCTTCCACAGAAGGGAATAATACGCAGCCATAAAGATGAATGAGGAGTCTCTTTATGTACCAATGTGAAATGATTCCTAAGATATTTATGTCAGAGAGAGAGAGACAGGGTCTGGGTCTCACTCTGTCTCCCAGACTGGAGTGCAGTAGTGTGATCTCGGTTCACTACAGCCTCCATCTCTGGGGGCTCAAGAGATCCTCTCGCCTCAGCCTCCTCAGTAGCTAGGACTACAGGCTTGCACCACCACGCTTGGCTAATTAAAATAAAATTTTTTTTTGGAGAGACTAGGTCTCACTATATTGCCCAGGCTGGTCTCAAACTTCTGGGCCAAAGAGATTCTCGCACCTCAGCCTTCCAAAGTGCTGGGATTACAGGCGTGAGCTACCCTGCCTGGCCTTCCAAGACATAGTTTAAGTAAATACAGCAAGGTGCAGGCCAGCATGTATAATTAGCTTCTATGTATGTTTTTTAGGAAGGGAGGGGTTAAGATTATAGATCTAGATGTGCTTCTATATGCATAAAAAATCTTTGGCAATATTCACTGTTAAATAGTCAGTGGAAACCCTACCTCATAGGGTTTTTATGAGGGTTACATGAGTTAATATTAGATAATTGCTTAGAAGAGTACCTGGCACACATTAAGCACTACAGAAGATTTTATTTAATAAAATAAAAAAGAGTGGCGGGCGCCTGTAGTCCCGGTTACTTGGGAGGCTGAGGCAGGGGAATGGCGTGAACCCGGGAGGCGGAGCTTGCAGTGAGATGAGATCGCGCCACTGCACTCCAGCCTGGGCGACAGTGTGAGACTCTGTCTCAAAAAAAAAAAAAAAAAAAAAAGAGGGTCCCTTAGGGGATGGAGACCAGGTGACTAAGGGGCAGGGAGAGAGACTTATTTTTCATCTGAGGCCTTAGACGCCTTTTGAATTTGGTACCATGGGTAAATTTTTTTTATTTTTATTTATTAATTTATTTTTGAGACAGAGTCTCACTCTGTCACCCAGGCTGGAGTGCAGTGGCACGATCTCGGCTCACTGCAACCTCCACCTCCCGGGTTCAAGTGATTCTCCTGCCTCAGCCTCCCTCGTAGCTGGGATTACAGTTGTGCGCCACCACACCTGGCTAATTTTTGTATTTTTAGTAGAGTTGGATTTTCGCCATGTTGGCCAGCCTGGTCTCGAACTCTTGACATCAGATGATCTGCCTGCCTCAGCCTTCCAAAGTGCTACGATGACAGGCGTGAGCCACCACGCCCGGCCTATTTTTTTGAAGTTGAAATTCAGTGTATCTTGGCCAGGCGTGGTGGCTCATGCTGTAACCCTAGCACTTTGGGAAGCTGAGGCAGGTGGATTGCTTGAGCTCAGGAGTTTGAGAGCAGCCTGGGCAACATAGTGAGACCCTATCTCTCAAAAAAATGCAAAAATTAGCTGGGTGTAGTGGCGTGCACCTGTAGTCCCAGCTACTTGGGGGGCTGAGGTGGGAGGATTGCTTGAGCCCAGGAGGCATAGGTTGCAGTGAGCCGAGCTCACACCACTGCACTCCAGCCTGGACGACGGTGAGACCCTGTCTCAAAAAAGAAAACAAAAAACAAAAAACAAAAAAAAAAAAAGAGAAAGAAAGAAATTCAGCATATCTAGATAGCTAAGAGATCATCTGAGGGGGTCAGGGCCTGGAAGGAGATCCCACCCAGAATCCCCGGGAATTCGCTGTAATTGGTCAAAGGCCACATTGTGTAGTGTGAGAAATCAGGACGTGAGGAAAAGGCGGACAGGAGACACCAAAACACCCACGCCCCAGGGCCCACTATAAAAAGCACATTTAAAAACACCAGACTGGAAAAGTTTTATTATTATTATTATTATTTTTTAAATAGCAAAAGCGAGTCCCCCCAGGAGGCGCACTGCAGCTGCGGCTGTGGCGGTTCCCAGGTGATGTCAGTCCTGGCCAGGCGCCAGTCCCGGCCCCTTGGAGACGGTCTTGGTGGGTTCAGCTTGACTGTTTTTCCTTCCTGAGACTTGAGGACACCTTCCTGTCTCAAAGAAGGAAGCCTTTCCAGGGCTTTCTGAAAGCCAGGGGCAGGGGAGGCGGTGGGCCTGGGCTGCAAGGGCAGAGAGAGGCAGGGAAGGTGGGTGGGGGTGGGGAGGAGCGGGGGCTGCCTCTGGGAGGAGAGTGAGGGTGGAGAGAGCAGAAGACAAGCCTGGCTCCTGGGTGGCTCTTTAGCCCTCCCACCCGGGGGCGCGAGGGGGTCTGCTTCTTGGGAATCCAAGGCCCGCCTCCCTGGCCCCATTGCTTCTCAGCCCTGGCTGCTTCCTGGGGAGGCCCCTGGGTGGGGTGAGGTTGTGGGGTGAGAGAGGTTCCCACAGAGTTCCCAGTTGGTCAGTGTCTTTTCTCCCTCCCTGAGCCCTGGGCCCACCCTTTCTTCTCTATGGTTAAAGGCTCTTTGCCAATATCTTCCAGGCCAAGCGCGGTGGCTCACGCCTGTAATCCCAGCACTTCGGGAGGCTGCAGCAGGCAGATCTCCTGAGGTCAGAAGTTTGAGGCCAGCCTGGTCAATATGGTGAAACCCTGTCTCTACTAAAAATACAAAAATTAGCCAGGTGTGGTGGCACGCTCCTGAATCCCAGCTACTCTGGAGGCCGAGGCAGGAGAATCGCTTGAACCTGGGAGACGGAGGTTGCAGTGAGTCGAATCATGCCACTGCACTCCAGCCTGGGTGATGGAGCGAGACTCTGTCTGAAAACAAAAACAAAAACAAAAACAAAACAAAACAAAACAAAACACCCAAGATTCTGCCAATATCTTCCAAACTGGGTTTTCTGCAGATGGGACGATCCACAGAGCTGGGTTTGAGGTCCAACTCTGCACTCCTAGCCGTGCGACCTCAGGCTGGTCACTGCTTTTCTTTGAGTGCCACCTCTGAAATGGATTAGGTTGGCCTTACAGGGTGGTTATGCAGAGTGAGTGAGACAGAACAATGCCTCTTGGTCCTTCCCGAGTATCTGCTAGGCACCCACAACGCGCCGGTGCCACCAGGCGCTCGGGATGCTCAGCATTTGGCACAGAGGCAGCAGAGCAGGGAGGTGAAGAGAGTGGGCTCTGGACCCAGCCTCAGTCCACATCCCGGTTCTGTCCTTTGATGGCCGTGTGAGGATAGTGACAGCCTGTCTCACTGGGTCGTAGAGGAGTAAATGAGTTACAGGCCGTGGAACAGTGCCTGGCACTGAGGCGGTGCTAGGTAAGTGTTTGCTTTTATTTTCGACTTCTGTCCAACCAGCCTTCTGTTGCTTTGACAGCTTCATGGGGCTGCTCTGGGCACTCAAAGGAGATATGTTGGGGATTCAGGGGTTGTGTTTAGGGGAGACCCAGGTCCTGCAGGTGCCCCATCATTCATACTGATGCAGGGGTGGCCTGGAAGCTGCAGAACCATTCACACTCGGCAAAGCCTTCTCTCACCTTGGAAGCATCATTCCTAATGACGACACAGGTCTCCCAGCCATGCGTTCCCACATAACTTAGAAGCACCCATCCCATTTTTATTATTTGCTCAGAGCCTGCTTTTTCAGTAGGCCGTAAACTCCATGAGGTCAGGTACTACATCTGGCTTATTCTCTGATCATCCCTAGAGCCTTGTGTGGTTCATGGAGAAGTTCAAAACATGTTTGTTGACGGACTTACTGACTGACAAAGTCTGCCAGCCTTATGTTGGTCTACAATGTTACACTCTATCCCATGCCTCCTGCTGAGTTTTACCCTCCTGCTGTGATGCAGGCTGTGGGATCTGGAGCTAGACCCCCTCAGTTGGAATCCTGGCTGTGCCATTGCCTAGCTGGGTGCCCTTGGGCTTGGTTTTCTAGTCTGTGAAATGGGGATAGCAACAGTACCTACCTATGTGGCTTGTTGCAAGTGAGGCCATCTCTGTATGTCACTCAGAGAAGTGCCTTGGATTAGTCAGTTCCATCAACATCAGGACTAGGCACGCACCTGGTGAGGTCATGTGGGGGTGGTGGTTGAGAGCCCAGTGGGGCTCTGCAGCTAGAACATCTGATTCAAATCCACCAGCCACTGTGTCACCTTGGCCAAGTTCTTTAACCTCCTTGTGCCTCCGTTTCCTCATCTATAAAATGGAGCAATAATAATACATATCTAACCAGCTTTTGAGCAAGCTGTATGTATGTATGTATTTATTTATTTAGAGACGGGGTCTTACTCTATTGCCCAGGCTGGAGTGCAGTGGTGCAATCTCGGCTCACTGCAACCTCCAACTCCTGGGTTGAAGGGATTTTCCTGCCTCGGCCTCCTGAGTAGCTGGGATTACAGGCACGCACCACCATGCCCAGCTAATTTTTGTATTTTTAGCAGAGATGGGGTTTGGCCATGTTGGCCAGGCTGGTCTTGAACTCCTGGCCTCAAGTGATCTGCCCTCCTCCGCCTTCCAAAGCACTGTGATTACAGGCATGAGCCACTGCCCCCCGCGAAGCTGTATTTATTTTATGTAAAGTGCATAGCCTAGGCCTGACACGTAGTAGGTCCTCAAAAGAGTCAGGCATTTTTCCAAGCCATTCAGAAAAAAACAACTCCTAGATTTTATCAGCCTTCCCTCCCACAAGGCCAGTGTGTCCCAGCTGACAAAGTTGCTGGCCGTGCTGACGTGAGGAAAAGCAAGGGCCAGAGAGGGCCAGACGCCTACCCTGGGTCACACAGGAGCAGTGGCCAACCTAGAATAGGCTAGGTCTTCTGTCTCGCAGCCTGTTCATCCTGAGTGCCTCCCTGGTTTCCAGGCCCTGCTGGCCTGCCCTCTGACCCTAGCCCCCTGGGAGCTCTATCCCAGGCCCATGGGGTCTGCAAATCTGGTCTGGATTAGACACGCTGAGAAGCAAACGCCAGCCCCCCCAGCCGGCTGCCCAGTGGGACCTGTGCTCACAGCTGCTGAGGCTCATAGGGACATAAATCATGGTGGCAGGAGACTCGGGGGATGGGACCACCTTAGCCTCCTAAGGGGCACAGGGGCCTGAGAGTCACGAGCAGAGGCACCTGGGTCTGCTGGGGATATTTTCCATCGTCTGTTGGACAAGCTAAAGCCAGGGTGCATCAGAGGGGGCCAGGACACCATTTGGCAGCCCTCGCATCACAGTAGGCCAAGATCCCAACTTCTTTTTAACTTTTCATTTTGCAATCATTTACAACATGCAGAAAAGTGACAAAAGTGGTGCAGAGAACTCCCATATACCCTGTACTCAGATTCACCACATTTTAAGTTTGTCATATTTACTCTATCCTTTTCTCTCACACATATATTATTTCTCTTCTGAACCATTTGAGAGAGCACGTTACCTACATCATACTTCTCCTTAATAGTACTTCAGGATGTATTTTTTTTTTTTTTTTTGAGACGGAGTCTCACTCTGTCACCCAGGCTGGAGTGCAATGGTGCGATCTTGGCTCACTGCAACCTCTGCCTCCCGGGTTCGAGCAGTTCTCCTGCCTCAGCCTCCCGAGTAGCTGGGATTACAGGCGCCTGCCACCACAGGGTTTCACCATGTTGGCCAGGCTGGTCTCGAACTCCTGACCTCAGGTGATGCGCCCACCTCGGCCTCCCAAAGTGCTGGGATTACAAGCTGAGCCACCACGCCCGGCCTAGGATGTAATTCTTAAGCACAAGGATATCCTCTGACACAATCAGGGTGCTGTTAGCAAATACAGAAAATTTAACTTTGATGCAATACCTTAATCTATTGTTCATATCCCAATTTTGTGTGACCATGTCTCAAAAAAAAAAATTGTCAACTCTACCAAGAAGGTCCCCTGTCACATTTTCCCCTCTGCAGTACAGGATCCAGTTCAAAGTCATGTATCGCATTTACCTGTTCAGGTCTATACTTGATATCACAACTACACGAGGTAAAATATACAGTCGTAAGAGACACAGATGGGGTTGAACAAAGACATCCAACTTCATATGTACGTCCCATGAACCAATGTTTCTATAAATCCTCTAATTATATGGTGTTCCACAATAATGCATCACGCTCCTGACTGTGTGGAGGTAGTTAAGAGTTAACTTGCCAGGCCAGGCACAGTGGCTCACACCTGTAATCCCAGCACTTTGGGAGGCTGAGGCTGGAGGATTGCTTGAGCCCAGGAATTTGAGACTAGCCTGGGCAACATGGCGAAACCCCCTCAAAATAAAAAATTAGCTGGGCATCATGGTGCACACCTGTAGTCCCAGCTACTCAGGAGGCTGAGGCGCTAGGACTACCTGACTCCAGGAGGTGGAGGCTGCAGTGAGCCATGATCGTGCCACCTGCACTCCAGCCTGGGTGACAGGGTGTAACCGTGTCTCAAAGAAAAAAAAAAGTTAACTTACCAAATATGCCATAGTCTTCAGCACTCTCTTTTTGTAGTGCTTCATTTTTTAACCTAATAAAAGCCTCATAAAATGGGAGTGGCCTGGGACAATGAGGGGAACCTGAAGTGCTGTGGGTGCAAGAGGTCCTGTGTTCTCAGCCCTGCTCAGCTCCAGATGCTGTGCAACCGTGGCCCATCACCGCTCCTCTCTGAGCTTCAGGTTGCCATGGGTGACCTCTGAGGCCTTCCTGCTCATAACTGTGGAGTCAGAGAAAACAGCCCTGCATGGCAAGGAGGGAGATTTGTGTTCTTGGTGTCCCAACAGGGCCAAGGACCTGCTGGGGAACCCCAGGCAGGTTGCCCTCTGTCTTGTCTCACTTTCTTCATTGTGAAATGATGAACTCTGAGATTATTCTTGTGCTGCTGCTTCATGTGTCAAGACTTGCAGGGAGAGTGTAACCCTTTGGGGTCCAAGGTGGCCTGGCTGAGTCGGTCATTCCAACCCCTTCAGTCCTGGATTTCTTCTCCCTGAGCAGCTTTACTCCTGTGGCCTCAAGTTGGCCTGGAGAAGCTTGGCTGGGCTGGACCATCCCGGAGGCGACAGGCATGCTGGGGGAGCGGACAATGTTACAAAATGTTCCCCAGAGGAGCTGCCTATATATGCAGACCACACCTGTGCTTCTCCCCGGTCACGTGTGTGGGCTGACCTTGCAGCTCACAAAGGCTCATGGGCATTAACTGTCCATTACCAGGAAGATAGCAAGCTGCAAAATATGCATAATGGAGCACTATGCAGCTATGAAAAGGTGTGAAACAGCTCTGTAAGCAACCAAGGGTCTCCAAGAAGTACAGTTAAGAAAAAAAAATCCAGTGCAGAGAGGAGTGTGTGAAATGCTACCACTTGTGTGGAAAAACAATATCTATGTAATTTGCCTATATATGCAGACCATCTCTGCCGGAATCCATAGGATCCTGGTTACCTTAACATAGCAATTGCCTCTGGGGACTGGAGCTGGTGGCTGGGAGAGAAGGAGACTTATTGTCAGTTTATTCTTTTTTGTGTCTCATTCAAAGGAAAGAACCGGTATGTGTAGATGTGCAAGAGGGGCTGGCTCCTGGGAAGCTGCTAATTGCATTTCTTGATCTCCATGCTGGGTGTACAGGTGTGCTCAGCTTGTGAAAATCCATTGAGCTGTACCCTTACACCCTGTGCACTTTCCTGAATGTGTCTTATACTTCCATAAAAAGTGTAAACTTGGCCGGGCGCAGTAACTCATGCCTGTAATCCCAGCACTTTGGGAGGCCAACATGGGTGGGTCACCTGAGGTCAGGAGTTCGAGACCAGCCTTGCCAACATGGTGAAACCCCGTCTTTACTAAAAATACAAAAATTAGCCAGGCGTGGTGGTGCACGTCTGTACTCCCAGCTACTCAGGAGGCTGAGGCAGGAGAATCGCTTGAACCCGGGAGGTGGAGGTTGCAGTGAGCCAAGATCACGCCACTGCACTCCAACCTGGGTGACAGAGTGAGATCCATCTTAAAAAAAAAAAAAAAGCGTAAACTTAGCATGGTTTAAATGATTTGTTAAGCGTATGTGTGCTAGTTTAACAAAAACGCTGCAGAGCTGGGCGCAGTGGCTCATGCCTATAATCCCAGCACTTTGGGAGGCTGAGGTGGATCGCTTGAGCCCAGGAGCTGGAGACCAGCCTGCATAACATAGTAAGAACCTGTCTCTACAAAATAAACAAATAAATAAAATTAGCCAGGCCTGGTGGTGTATGCCCGTATTTCCAGCTACTCCGCAGGCTGAGGTGGGAGGATCACTTGAGGACAGGAGGTTAAGCCTGCAGCGAGCTATGACTGTGCCACTGCACTCCAGCCTGGGTGACAGAGTGAGACCCTATCTCAAACAAAACAACAAAAAATACTCGGTGGGATTATCGTCTTCACTGTGGCTGTCTCTGGGATAAGTGATATTTCTAGAGTCTTATAGCATTTTGAATTTGTTTTACAATGAAAGCACAGGCAGAGAAACCTATAAATATTTTTTCAGAAACAGTTATCAGTATAGAAGCTTTTTTGGAAGGACACTCAGGAAGCTGCCTCTGGGGAGGGGCCTGAGGAGGTCTGTACTTTTCACTGCATACCATTTGATACAACTTGGATTACTTACCAGTGCATACAGGGTCTATTAAAAACTATCTCACAAAGCAAAACAAATACTTATCTTTCTGTTCTAGCTGCTCTTACTAGTTAGAGACTGAGCCAGGGAGGCCCAGAGGGGTCAAGCAACATCTCTGGGGTCACCCAGCAAATCTGGTGGCGGAGTGGGCCTCCAGCCAGAGCACCCAAGTGTCTGCTCTGCCCCCACTCCCAGGCTTCCTGCCATTGACAAGGCCACAGTCCTTTTCCTGTGGCTTTGCCAGAGGCTGGCTGTACCTGGGAGGGTAGGCGCAGGGGGAGCAATGTGCTTTCCTAATCAGCTCCCAAAGGGGGAAGCACAGCCACGCTGGGACACAGGATAAGCACGACCAGTGTTCCTGAAACAGCGGGGAAGTGAGGTAGAGGGTGCTTGGAAAGCTCTCCTGGGTGGGGGACCCCGGCCCCCTGGGGCCCTCCTTCCTCTACTTCTTACACCAAAGGAATTAAGCATGGTAATTTCATGGCCTGCTCCAGCCTAGGGACTGGCAATTCCACAACTCCCTTGATCTCCCTGGGCCTCGGTTTTCATCTGTGAGGAAGACCAGGTTGGTCGGGCTCATTCCTGTGGCATCTGGCACAGTGCCTGCCACACAGAGGGTATTGACAATCTGTTTGTCAATTTGCAAAATCGGAGCCACAATTCAGGCTCAGATGGTCAAACGCAGGGGAGTGGGGTAGAGGCAGAACAGAGGGGATACGAACGTGGACTCTGGGGCCAGAGTGCAGTCAGTAAACATGAAATAGATCACTTGAGCTCAGGAGTTTGAGACCAGCCTGGGCAACATAGTGAGACCCTGTCTCTAAAAAAATAAAAATAAAAGTGTTTGTTAAATAAATAAACTGTTGAAATAGGCATATGAATGTACCTTGCTGAGGAGAGGGTGGCTGCCTGGCTGCCCTGGCCTTTCCCTGGCTCTCCCACCCTCGGGCCTCTCGAGCTTCTCTGATCCTGACCTCACAGGGACACAGCCCCAGCCCGAGAGCCAAGAACTCCTAGCTGCACTGATCAGCTGACGCATCGCTGTCTCTGCTGGGTCTGCAGTGGGGAAGACACCAGCTCTCACCTCCCAGGGCTCCTGGGAGTGTAATTGGGGTAACAGGTGCTGGCTTTCCACTTGGGGCATCTCCAGGGCAAGGAAGGAGCTGCTCTGGGCTTCAAAGGTGGACGGACCTCAGGGTGTCACCCTGCCACGTGCCTCTGGGTGTCATCGGTCTTCTAAAGCATTTCAGCTAACACAGGGGTAAGAATATTCCCCTTTAGCATGCACTCATTTGCACTTGTGGAAAACCACATGGCTTGTTGGTGATCGCATCAAAGAGGGATGGGTTAAAGGATGGCATGTTCACAAAATGGAATAATAAGCAGCTCAGGAAGAAATGAAATACCCTTTAGGTACTGACTTGGGATGATACCAAGCTAGATTAAGGAAAAAAAGAAGGAGCCAAAAGTGTGTACGATGTGCTGTCATTTGTGTATTTGCCTGATCATTCATAGTGAATGGGACATCACAGGAAACTGGTGCCCTAGGCTGCTTGCAGAGAGGAGAGCTGGTGGCTGGAGGACAGGGGCACGGAGACTTTTCAACACATACCCTCTGGTACCTTCTGAGTTTTGAACCATGTGAATGAAATGAACACAGGCCTTATTCAAAAATAAGTAAAATTAAGATTTCTTTACCAACCATATCAGACACCTAACAGTTGTTAAGAACATCTGATAAACAGCAGACTGAGGAAAGTTTGGTTATGGCGCCCGGAGAGGGGGCTCTGCCTGCCTTCCCCCGCCCCACCCCCACCCTTCCAGGGCTCAGGGCAGCCCCCAGAACATCTGTGCCTCTCTCTAGGTCCAGGGGAGGGCCCACCTCTGACCTCCGATGTCCACGGGACTCTCCTCAGCTCAGAACGACGTCTTTTATTTAAAAATAGCTTTTATTTTAAACTCACCAATTCTCTCTCACACACACTCACACTCACGCACAGATACACACACACCCTGTCACCAACAGTCTTTGTTTTTCCAAAAGTTCTGCCTTGTCTCTGACCAGCCAGAGCTGGGCAGGCTGAATGGATCCTCACAGCTCTCCAGGATCGGGTGGAGATGTCCCGAGGGCCCTGCCCAGAGTGTCCCGGAACAGGCCATGGTCCCCCGGTCCCTACACAAAGAAGGGGTGGGCTTGGCTCCTGGGGTCTTCTTCCCTGTCCAGCCAGTGGCTGGCTCCTGGCCTCCTTCTCCAGGGTCCAGGCTCATCTCCGTGGCCCTCGAAGGGGGGCCACCCCCCTCACCTTCAAGCAGCTGCCCCCCAGGTCACGACGGCCACCCTGCAGAGGGGGAGAAAGAGTATAAAGAGGTTCGATTAGGCCAGTGTGAACACTGGAACTAACCTCTGTATCCCTCAAGAGGGATCCTGATCAATAAATCACAGTTCAGCCACACGATCAAGTTCTCTGCAACAGAAAGCAGAAGAAACCCTTTCTGGACTGATACAGACTGCTGCCAAATGACAATGTTTAGGGACAAAAGCAAGGGGCAGGCTGAATGCGCCTGTGTGCTGTGATTGCTGGGGAGAAGCACACACGGGAAATTGTGAGTGGGTTTCTTCAGAGAGGAATTTGATGATGGAGAGAGGATGGGAGGGAGGCTCTCTCATGCTATACTGTTTTTTGAGATGGAGTCTTGCTCTGTTGCCAGGCTGGAATGCAGTGGCACAATCTCAGCTCACTGCAACCTCTGCCTCCCGGGTTCAAGTGATTCTCCTGCCTCATCCTCCCGAGTAGCGGGGACTACAGGGGCCCACCGCCACACCCGGCTAATTTTTGTATTCACGCTATACTTTTTTACCTTTTCTACTTCTTTCCCATATGATCTGTTGCTTAAAAAAAATCCAATATATTTTAAAGCATAATATTTTACACGGGCAAAACAAGCACACCCCACAGTGGTCCTCCCCCTGCCTGACTGCATGCCTAGCGGCTCACTCGTCCACCTTTAAAAGGGGACTCGGTTTCTGGCCTCCTTGACTTCCCTCAGGGCGTCCCCTTTCCCAGGAATGTGCTCTCAGGTCTTGTCTCCCTGGAAAGGTTTCTCTGTTCCTGAAATTGCCTAGCACTTCCTGCCTTTCTGGGGACATTCCATGGGGATGAATCTCAGAAGGACAAGGCAGGGTCTCTCCTTTGTCTCCCCATCTGGACTGGGATCTCAGGGAGTGGTAGGGAAAAGGAGTTCTTCACTCTGTGGTCCCATTTCCAGCCTGGGCTCTCTTGGCCCAGGACCTGACTTGGAGCAGGCACCAATCAAGGCCGCCTGAATTAAGTGGCAGCCATTGGAAGATGGGCTAATGGCGGCAGTCCCTGAAACCATCAGTCCTTACAGGGGCTGTCTCTACCAGCTCTTCTCATTGATATTTTCAGACTGGACACATGGGTTTCATCCTCACCGTAAGCCAGAGAGGTCACAGATGTTAAAGCACCCCCTCTTTTGAGGCCTCCAGCCACTGAATGACTGGCCCAGAGGCACCCAGCCAGTTGTAAAAGAGCTGGGCTAGAAATCTATGTTGTCCAACAATCTGTCCTGTTTCCAGGACATGATAGTGTCTGAAATCCCACTGTAAATGCTCATCACCCTGAGCCTGGCTAGATGATGGAGGAACAGGCAGCTTTCTCAGCCCACTTAGAGAAACAGCTGACCATCTGGGAGCTCTGTCCCCTGCCCCCTCCACCCCCAGGTCCAGGTTGGGGCAGATCCATCCAGATGCGAGCCCAGCCTCCCTCGAGGCTCTTGCAGCCCAGGGACAGCATGTTCACTCACAGGCAGGGCTATTTTGAGGGCTGAGGCCACAGTCCCAGCAGAGCCTGGGGCTTGGGCTTCTCAGACAAACTCTGGCAGGAGTGGCTGAGAAGGGCAGATAGGGGAGGGGGTGCAATATTAAGGTTGAATTAGAAAACTGGCCTTCCTCTCTTTTACTCTGTAAGTGCTCAGGGACAGGGAGAGCCGCCCCCTCCCACCCCAAGTCTGGAGGTCAGCTGGAGACCTAGGGTCCCAGAAGAATGCTGGGACTGTTCACCTCCCTGAACCTCAGTTTCTTCATCTATGAAATGGGGACAAAATGATTTTACTTGCCATCTCAAGGTGCAGTCGAATGTGAATGCAGCTGTGTAAGCTGCTAAGTGTACTTAGAAGAGGTCTTGACGGCCGGGTATGGTGGCTTATGCCTGTAATCCCAGCACTTTTGGGAGGCCGAGGCAGGCGGATCACCTGAGGCCAGGAGTTCGAGACCAGCCTGGCCAACATGGCAAAACCCCGTCTCTACTAAAAATACAAAAAATTAGCCAGGTGTGGTGGCTGGCACCTGTAATCCCAGCTACTTGGGAGGCTGGGGCAGGAGAACTGCTTGAACCCGGGAGGCGGAGGCTGCAGTGAGTTGAGATCGTGCCACTGTACTCCAGCCTGGGCGACAGAGCGAGACTCCATCGCAAAAAAAAAAAAAAAAAAGTCCTGACAAGACCCCAGTTTGTTTGTCCCTTAGGAACTCAGCACCAAGGGTCTTCGGGAAGCACCATGGTTAGGAGTTAGGCTCAAGTGAGACAGACCTAGGCTTCGATCCCTACTTTGCCAAGGGCCAACTACTGGACCTCAGGCAAGTGATTTCATCTCACTGAGCCTCAGTTTCCCCCCCGTAAAGGGGAATTACTTTACAGGATCACACAAGCTAATCTAGGTAAAGCCTTGGCACAGTGTTGGGAACAAAGTAAATGTTCAATAAATGTTCATAAGTATTATTATCAGCATCATCTATGGACAGTGCCTCCTGGTCCCAGCTACCCTCTGGGTATACCAACAGGGGAGAGCCTTACAAGATGATCCTGTCCAATCCTCACCCCCAGGTGACAAAGGGAAAACAGGGCAGAGACAAGAACCCCCTTTCCACCTCCCACGTGCTAATTCTACCACAGAGGGCCACACCTAACCCCTCCTTCAACAGAAAGATGCTACAGGAAACTGTTTCCACGGCAACCCCAACTCCAGACTGGCCAGGATGGGAGGGAGGTGGTGGCTCAGGGTAAAGGAACGGGGTCTTGGGTCTTAAAGCTCTTCTGGCCCACAAAGCTCAGAAGGGAGCAAGAGCTCCCCAAGCCAGCCAGTTTTCTTCCAGCAGAGTCTTCAAGGGGCCATAGCTGGCCAGGATTGCCCCTCTCGCCTATTCCCAGAGGAGACCGTGGGGTTGAGAGCATGGTTTCTACAGCCAAATTTGGCTGAGTTCTTGGTCCCATAGACAGATCCCAGGGAAGCGGCCAGGCCCAGGGGAGGCCCCTGTGAGCTGTGGGACAGGCCTGAGACCTGCAGAGAAGTCCCCCAGCCTGCTTGCTATGGGGGTGGACACATGACAGTTACAGGGACTTCCCTCTGTAACCTATCCCACGTCCCAACCAGGCAGGCCTGAGTTTGAATCCTGGTTCCATCACTGACTGTGTGTCTCTGCGCCACTGGCAGCACCTCTAAGCAAGTGGGGATAACCACAGCGCCTCATTCCTGGCTGTTGCAGGATTTTAATGATAAATCATAAAGAGCGCTTAGCACAGATCAGTGCTCATGAAGGCTGCTGTCACTGCTGTTATTGGCCATTGTGCTCCCCCTCTGCACTCCTGCCACTTTTAACCTCTTCCCTCTTCCTTCTCTAGGCCTGAGCTCTTGCTGTATGCCCCAATCCTAGAACACCCTTTCCTACCCCTTCATCGGCCTGCCCCTGTTCTAAAGCATCCTTCAGAAATGAGACACAGAAACCCTGTCAGCACTCACCCTGGGTTGGAGGCTTTCTCTGGGCTCTGAGAATCCCTTTGTGCTTCCCCTCCCCCACCATCAGACCACAGCATCCTCATCTTCATCTCCCTGCCCTGACCCTGGGGCTGTACTGTCAGGTCCTGACTGGTGGAAGGGTGGGGACCTACAACCTGCTTCTCTGGGGTTCTCAGAGCCAACAGAAGGCAGCTGTTGGGTAGCTAAGGGTTGCTAACTGGAATGAATGGGTGAAAGGCAGTCAGGGAGTATCCCTGAGAGCCCCTTCAGGCCCTCCCATCCCAGGAAGCCTTAAAGGCCCACTCCTGGCTTCTCAGCCCAGCCTGGGGCACTGACAGGGGCCCACAGCTGGGAGCAGCAGGGACCCTGGAGAGGGCACAAGCCTGAGGCTAAGAAGACCGACGATTCAGGGCAACTGAGGCAGCCAAGTGTTGAGCAACCAGGCTGGATATCTGATGAGCCAGACAGAGGGTGGTCTCAGGCCAAGATGCAGAGGCCTCCGCAGAACAGGGTGGAGCAAGGGACCAACGGCAGCTGTGAGAACCAAACAGCAGGGAGTCAGGGGCCTAACTCCAATTCCCCATGCCCTTCCACTTGGCCACCAAAAGTCAGTACTCTCTCAGCCTCAGTTTCCCCGGATGTAAATGGTAGCTGCTGGAATACAAGTTGTTAGACAGGCTTCTTTACTGTAGGAAAAGCCCAGGCCAGAAAGGCACACGGTCGGGGGATGAAGCAGGTTCCTTGGAGCCTGGGCAAGGTTTCAGCCAAGAGGCCACCTCTGCTGCCACACAGCCCCCGCCCACCCCTACCAGCCTGATCCACTTTCTTGCCCAGGACACATTGCAGGAGCTGCACACCAGCTCCCTCCAGCTGACCCAAGAGTGCCCTCTCCCAACACCACGTCCTTTTGGGGGCTGGGGACTCTCAGAGGGCCCCTTCTTCACTCCTACTGCTCATCCGCTGGGTACCTCAGGCTCTCGGTTGGCGGTTTGTGGCCTCCTTTCTTCTCAGTCTCCTGCTCTTGGGTTAGATCTTAGGACAGGGGACAATTATTTCAAGGTGGGGGCAACACACACCGGGCAAGCCCAGGGCCAGCGCCCCGGCTTCCCAGCTGAGTAAATGTGGGCAGGTGATCCCATCTCTGATGCTCAGATCCTCATCAGGATAAAATGGGCAGAAAAACTACCTGCCTGAAGGGATTCTTGTGAAGGCAAAAAAGTGGATGTGGAGCGCATCGGCACAGAGGAAGACTCCATAAAAGATGGGTCTTTGTTACTCAGTCCTCATGCCGTCTTCCCAGCAGGAAGGAAGTTCCAGCACACCTTTCGTTGGAGGGGATATCCCACACTGAGCAGTTAAATCAGACCCGAACTCTGGGTTTTCCCGCATCCTTCTGTTTGGGGGCCTGGGCATTAAGTCAGTGGTTCTGGGCTTGGGGTGCCGCACCCAGCACGAATTCCACGTCGCTTCCCCCTGGCCTCGTTGGGGACCCCTGCACCTCTCCGGTTCCCGCAGAGGCGCTGCCCCCCGCCTACCCCGACCTGGCGGCCGCAGCGAGGGACGCAGCACACTCACCCCCTTGCGCTGGTTGCTGAGGCAGAAGGTGCAGATGGAGCGCGGCTGGCGGCCGCCGTCGGCGGCGGCGGGGACGGCGCCCTTGGCACTGCCCGCGGCACGGAAGCACGGCTGCCCGTCGTCGGCCGAGTCGCCCAGCAGCAGCACGTTGGCCAGGTGCGCGATGTAGCTGGACGCCAGGCGCACGGTCTCGATCTTGGACAGCTTGCGGTCCACCGGCTCGGTGGGGATGAGCGTGCGCAGCGCCGTGAAGGCCGTGTTCACGCTCTGAGTGCGGTCCCGCTCCCGCGCGTTGGCCGCCTGCCGCTGTCGCACCACCACCACGGGGCCCGCGCCGCCGCCGCCGCCCGCCCGCCGCCCGCCCCCGGGGCCCGGGCCGCGCCGCGCCGCCTCCGGGCCCTCGCAGCAGCCGAACGACTGGTCCGACGCGTCGCTCTCGCTGCGGTTCTCCTCGTCCTCGCTCAGCAGCCGCACGTCCGGGTACAGCACGTGCGCGCCGACGGGCCGCAGCAGCGCGAACGCCATGGGCGCCGGCCGCGTCCCTCCGTGCGCCGCGTCCCAGCGTCGGCCGCGCCCCGCCGTGCGCTCCCGCGCGCTCCCACGGCCCCGCCGGCCCCCGCCTTATAGGCGAGGGAGGGGCCAATGGCAAGGCCGCCCCGGCCGGGGGCGGAGGGCTCCGCCCGGCCAATGGGGAGGCGTCCGCCCGGCCAATGGGGAGGCGTCCGCCGCGCCCTGGCCAATGGCGACGCTCCCACCGCCTCCGTCCCCCAGGTTGAAAGCGGCCCGGGAGCCGGCGGCCCACCCCGAAGGCCCCCGTTCCCGGCTGGCTAGCCCGGCAGATGCTGGAGGTCTGGGAGGGTCGGCCGGGGTGGGCCCAGATCCGAACTTTTTGTCTCCAGCCTGGACCACCTGGGAGACGCGGGCAGATCCCTTTCTCCTCTCTGGGCCTCAGTTTCCTCGTTCGGAACGTTCAGATTGCAGAGAAACAGCTAGTGTCTGCCTGCCCTCCAATTCTAATCCTGTAGTTCTGCAGCTTTCACGTGCGTAAGAACTGGGGAAGGGGCTTTTGCTATTACAGAGTCCCAAATTGCTCCCATTCTGATTGAGCAGTTCTGGAACGGGCCCAGGAACCTACATTTTGTAACAAGCCATTGGTGATAGTGGTGGTGTCCGTGGAGAACACTTGGAGAAAAGCTATAATCTTTCCAAATGAGGATTCGACAGTGTCTTGTCCCTGAAGACAAACTTAAAAAGAAGAAGAAAAAAAAAAGCAAAACAAAACCACAATACACAAACACCAGTAGTTCGTTCGTTTTTTCAACAAATATTCGTTGGGTCCCTACTATGTGTCAGACATGGTTTTAGGTCTGAGGATACAGCCATTAACAAAATAAATTCTTCACCCTCACGGAACTGACGTTTTGGTTAAGGAACTACTGTGTACCAGACTCGGTGCTATATACTCTATTGCGCCCAGCTGAGGCTGCAGGATGGCAGCCCTGAGTTACAGGTCAGAGAGCTCCGGCCTTCAGTCGTACAGGTGGGAGTGGCGGCGCTAGCTCCAGCCTGTCCGGTTTCACTACCTCTTGGAATCCTACCACCACCATCCCATCACACACACACGGGCTATCTTTCCTCAATGCCTGCTTGCCTTCTAGAAACCTTAGATTGTTCAGCCTGACGTGTCCTCTTCAGAGAATTGCTGAGCCAAAGGTGGTTGCCGGGGTCTCGATCTCACTCGTGCCTGCTGCTCAGCTCTCTCCAGGCACTAGCTAAACCAGCATCCACTTGGCCTTGAAAATAAGCCCGAGTGGCAGCCGGTGTAGCAGACAGAGCGCAGGGAGTGGAGTTGAAAGGCTTCTAGGTGCATTTTGGCTCCTCTGGGCGTCTGTTTTCCTGACGATGCCTGCAGCTCTGCCATGCTGTGCTTTCCTGGCTTCCCTGATCCAGGCCAGAATTAGGGGAAGAAGAGGGAGCGAGGGATTTCCCATGACTGCCGGGGGAGGAGCCCCTTAGGACCCAGGGTCTGCGGGAGAGTCTGTTCCCACACCTGGATCCCCCCACCGCCAGCATTTGACCGTGACCCCAGCCAGGCTGGGCTTTGGGGAGGAGGGAAACAGCCAGCATGGGCCCCCTCCCCGCAGGGCTGGTCCCACACACAGCCCCAGACCAGGCTGCTGCTTCCTGAGCCGATGAATTATTACCGGGAGATTTCCTTCCCTGTCTGCGCCTCCTCACAGGGGCTCCCAGCTCACTTCACTTTCGCTTTCTCCCCCTTCTCCCCCTCCTCTCTGCTTCTGACCCTCAGGCAGCTTGAAATTCCTCTGTCCAGCCCCCTCCCAATTCCACCTCCAACTGGAGATGCCAACCAAGGCGTGAACTGGGCCCGGAAGGCGAAGAGGGGCTTGCCTTGTAGGCTCATTCATTTATTTGCTCCTTAGGCATATTTTGACACTTGGGACCCTGGGAGTAGAAGAAAACCATGAATGAGACTGAGACAGGCCTTCTGCAGCCGAGAGGGGAAGGCGAGCTGTAAACAAAGGATTTCAAGACAATGTGGTAGGAGCAAGCCAGGGTCTGGTATCAGAGAGACCCAGTTCCGGTTCCAAGGTTAGCTGCTTCCCAGAGTCTCAGTTGCCTGCTCTGAAAATGAGATAATAATAGTACCCATTCCCAGGGCTGGTGATGGTTCCATGAGTTTGTGCCAGTAGAGCTGGGCTTGGCACACAGGAGTGCTCAGTACCTGAGAGGAGTTTGTGCTACTGTTTTTAGGGGCTGGCCCCAGCCAACTGCCTGGGAAAGGGCTGAGCAGCATTGACTTTTCTAGGTCTTGTCCCTGGGAGTGCGGAGGGGACTCCTACCACATTCTCAGCTCACCTACACAGGGGACCTCAGCTTCCCCCATTCTCTGTCCCTCACTCTGCTCCAGCCACACTGGCCTCCCCACTAAATCTGGAGCCCACTTCTTCCTGGCCCCCCTGGCCCCTGATAGTCTCATAGTTTGTTCACTCATTTCCTTCAAATCTTCACTCAAATCTTATCTCAGGGAGGCCCTTCCTGACCACCAGCACTAACAGTAATGGCTTCTCCAACCTGCCAGCACCCCCAGCTCTCCCTTTCCCCTTATCCTGCTTTATTTCTTTTTATAGCATTTGTCACTGACTTTCATTCATTCACTTATTCATTCTACAAATATTAACTGAGCACCTGCTATGTGCTAGGCACAGTTCTGGGTACTGCGGATACAGCAGTAGAGACATTACATATTTATTTGTCTACCACCTGTCTCCCTCCACTAGAGTATAAGCTCCATGGGGCAGGTACTTTGTGTATTTTGCTCATCTCACTTCCTTCCCAACACAACCTTCTGAGGTAGGTATTGTCATTATTCCCATTTTACAGATGAAGATACGGAGGTTCAAAGAGGGGAAAGTGACTTGCCCGAGGTCACACGGTGGGCCAATGTGGGAGCTGAGATTGGTCTGACTCCAAAGCCATTGCTCCTTCCCTAACCACATGGCTTCTGAGGCAGCCTAGAGGCCTGTGAGGGCTGAGTAGGAGTCTGCCAGGTAAGAGGAGACAGGTGTCACAGGCTGAGAGGGTAGAGGCTGGTCCCTGCCTCCCTGACCATGGGCACCCTTCACTTCTACAAAAAGCATTTGTTTCTCAGAGGCACCTGCTGTGCACAACTCTGAGCCTGTGCTCCAGCTGTCCTTCCTGCTTGGAATGCTGCCCCTTTGGGTCTGACCAGACATCCCTAGTCCTCTGCCAGTGTTCAGAGTAGCAGATGGTGAAGGCCTCTTTGCCACTTTTTGCCAACCTTGCTGCAAAGTCTTGTTGTGTTCATCACACCATATTTTGACTTTTCTCCCTTCATCCCTGATTCTCACTTCCATTTCCCTCCCCTAACAGGGCACCCACTCCCATATCTTTGACGCATGCCTTTGGATATATGTGTGTCTTTATAAAATGTGCATGGCGTTGATTTGTGTGTGGAGGTTTTTAATGTATATAAATAGTGGTTTCAATAGATCTGTGTCATAGGCTATTTTGTTTCCTCGACACTGCTCTGTGTGCTGAGTCCAGCTCAAGTCCCTTGGTTCCCACTGCTGCTAAGCATGCACGGTGTGCGTGTGCCACCATGCCTCCTTTTCCCACCGCTTTAGTGATGGATGCTGGCTACCTCCAGTTCCCACCTCCCCAAGCAAAGCTGTGATGGACTTGCAGTGTGTGACTCTCATGGACTCCCGTGTGTATTTCTCTGGGATGTACACTCGGGGGCAGGATCCCTGGGGTGGAGAGAATACATACAGTTACTGCACTCTATGACGGCTGCCTCAGTCTACATGCCCAGCAGCAGGGCATGAGGGACCACTTTCTCCACATGCACCCTAGCACTTGGAATTATCTGACTTCCCAATGATGGAGATATGGGTTGTTTTCCATCTCCTTGTGCTTGCCTCCATCACGGTGTGGGCAATAATGAATACTTGTTGCACTTTGGGTGGCCGAGGCGGGTGGATCATTGAGGTCAGGAGTCTGAGACCATCCTGGCCAACATGGAGAAACCCCGTCTCTAGTGAAAATACAAAAATTAGCCAGGCGTGGTGGTGTACCTGTAATCCCAGCTACTCAGGAGGCTGAGTCAGGAGAATCGCTTGAACCTGGGAGGCAGAGGTTGCAGTGAGCCGAGATCGCGCCACTGCACTCCAGCCTGGGTGACAGAGCAAGACTCCATCTCTCTCTCTCTCTCTCTCTCTCTATATATATATATATATATATACATATATATATGTATATATATGTATATATATGTGTATATATGTGTATATATATGTATATATGTGTATATATATATGTATATATATATATAATGAATACTTGTTGAACAAATGAATGAAAAGGCTAATACACAGCCTCCCACACCTACCTTGTACCAAACCTCAGTCTAGAAGGTGGCGGTATATGTGTGTATGTTTGTGTGTAGAGAGGGGAATATAAGACAAAGTCTTATGCCTCAACCTGCTTAGAGAAAAAGACTAATGACAGTTAGCATTTATTGAGGGCTTACTTTGTGTCAAGAATTCATAGGTGTATATTCACAACCTTAACTTCAGTGAGACAAGTAAAATGCATTTCTCTCTCATTCAAGGCCTTTGGAGGTAGGGCTGCTCTGGCATTCCACAGTGTGGTCGCCAGCTTCCAAGATTGCCAGCAATGATCCTTGCCTCCTAGTATTCATCTGCGTGTGTAGAACCCTCCCCCATTGAATCAGATTTGACTCATGTGACCAAAAGAATATGACAGAAGTGACGGTATGTGACTTCTGAATGTAGCTCATAAAGGCATTGAGCTCCTGCCTTGTTCTCTTGAGTCATTTACTCTGGGGACAGCAGCCACCATGCCATGAGGACACTCAAGCCGTCTGTGGAGAGAGACCAAGGTCCCTAGCCTACAGCCATCACCAATTTGCCAGCCAAGTGAGTGAGCCTCCTTGGATGTGGATCCTGAATTCCTGACCTGCAGGACCTGTGAAAAAGAAGAAAGATAATACAGAAAGACAAAGAAAAAAGATAATAAATAATTATTGGCTGGGCGCAGTGGCTCACACCTGTAATCCCAGGACTTCACAAGGCTGAGGCCAAAGGATCGTTTGAGGCCAGGAGTTTGAGACCAGCCTGGGTAACATAGTGAGACCCTGTCTCTAAAAGAAAAAAAAGGAAAAGAAATTTGCTGGATGCTCTGGTGCATGCCTGTGTTCCCAGCTACTCTGGAGGCTGAGGCAGGAGGGTCGCTTGAGCCCAGGAGTTTGAGGCTGCAGTGAGCCATGATCACACCACTGCACTCCAGCCTGGGCAACAGAGCAAGACCTTGTCTCTAAAAACACAAAAATTATCAATGTTGTAATCCCGTAAGTTTAGGGTGTTTTGTTATGCAACATTAGATAACTAAAACAGATGGTGCCGGGGACCCAGGCTCTGTCTATCTTTTTACTGCACCATACATAGCTTTCACTTCCTAGTTCTCTTACAGAGCCACATGGCCACAGGAGCCATTCTATCTGCATTCCAACTGGCAAAAAGGAGAAAGAGGCAGAAGGAAGAGCATGCTTTAATCTGTAGAACACCAACCTCACTCCGTTCACATCCCGTTGGCAAGATCTTGTCATTTGACCATACTTAACTGAAAAGGAGGCTGAGTATATAGTCTTTTGCAGGTAGGTGTCCGTGTGTGCAGCTGAACACTGGGTTTCTGTTAGTGAGGAAGAAGGGAAGAATGGCTATTGAAAACAACTAACCATAGGTGTTATATACCATAGGTGTTAACTCTGGAGATAATAATGTCACATGGTTAAGTTTGCACATTTGGGAGCCTGACTGCCTGGTTTCAGTTCTCAGTTAGGCCACTTACCAGATGTGTGATCTTGGGAAATTTACCAAACTTTTCTGGGCCTCAGTTTCCTCATCTGTAAACAGGGCTCACAGTAAAGCCTGCCTCATAGGGTTGTTATGAGGATTAAATGAGTCAATGTATGTAGCGTTTATAACAGTCCTGGCACATGGTATGTGCTGTGTGTTAGCTGTTTTCATTATATAATCCTTACAAGGGTTTTTTTTTTTTTTTGACAGAGTTTCACAATTATTGCCCAGGCTGGAGTGCAATGGTGCGATCGCAGCTCACTGCAACCTCTGCCTCCCAGGAGGATTCTCCTGCCTCAGCTTCCCATGTAGCTGGGATTACAGGCATGCACCAGCATGCCTGGCTGATTTTGTATTTTTAGTAGAGACTGGGTTTCACCACATTGGTCAGGCTGGTCTTGAACTCCTGACCTCAAGTGATCCACCCTCTTTGGCCTCGTAAAGTGCTGGGATTACAGGCATGAGCCACCGCGCCTGGCCACAAGGGGTTTTCTTAAGTTCTCACAACCAGCAAGTGATGGAAGCAGAATTTGGCCCAAAAGCATTTTTTTCCACTTGCGTCATCCCATAGAAATTCGTAGAGTGCAAGATCAAGACCCAGATCAGTACACCGCACATAATACGCATCCAGAAATATCTGTCGAATGAGTGAGTTAAATAAACACGTAAACTGTCCTTACATAGAGATGCTAGGTTTTGTTTGGTTTTGTTTTATGTTCAGTTAATGAGAATGCTCCATTGACCCCATCTGGTTCCTCTAGTATGGGGCTGATGCCCTTGATACCATGCTAGAACTCAGTCCCTCCAGGGTCCCTCCAAGCCATCATTTTTAAGGGTGAATTCCTGGGAACACTTGTTCTTGCGGATGCTCAGGATTCCATGATTTTTTTTAAAAAAAGTCAGAGAAGCTGCATTTTATATCCCCCTCCTAGCGACCTGCAACAACATTAGCATGTTAAAGAGTCGGAGAAATCCTGCAACAAAAAAGCTTGTTGGGCTTCATTTCAATCTGCATTTTGTTTTCTTATTTTTTTGAGACGAGGTCTTACTCTGTTGCCCAGGCTGGAGTATAGTGATGCAATCATGGTTCACTGCAGCCTCGACCTCCCAGGCTCAAGCAATCCTCCCACCTCAGCCTCCCAAATAACTAGGACTACAGGCATGTGACAAACCCAGTTAATTTTTAATTTTTTTGTAGAGATTTAATTTTTTTTTTTGTAGGCAACTATGTTGCCTAAGCTAGTCTCTAATTCCTGGACTCAAGCAATCCTTCTGCCTTGGCCTCCCAAAGTGCTGAGATTACAAACATGAGCTACCGTGCCTGGTCTCAATCTGCATTTTCTGAGCTTATTTTAGGCTTACTTGATTAAAGACTCACTTCCTGCCCCCAACACCAGACACCTAATAGAGAATACAGTTTAGCAGACATTTCTCCGGGCTGTTGCCACTGACATCTACCTCAGTGTGAGTGGGTATCCATTCTTTCTAGACAGCATGTTTGATAGGAGTGAAGTGGAAGTGAGCAGGTGGGTGCTGGTTACCAGGAAGAGACAGGGTAAGAGAGGGAACATACAGGCATATGTCCGAGCCCCACTTTCTAAGGGACATAAAAATATCATTGAAAATATAATAGGTGGAGAAAAGTGTATTTCGTGGTACTTCTTTCAGGGAAAATGCAATGTAAATTGAAATAATAATATTATTGAGGGGTAACAATATGCCAGGCACTCTGCTAGGAACTTATTTAATCCTCACAGCAGTCTCATGAGCTAAGTACTATTAATATTCCCGTTCTATAGGTGAGTAGACTAAAGAGCAGAAAGGTTAAGTAATTTGCTTAAGGTCACATAGCTAGGGAGTGGACAGGAATTCTTTGATAAGTTGCTTGTGGTGAGGATAACAAGGGAAGACCCTCCCCCGGGGTAGTTTAAGCTCAGATGCTCACAAAACTCTGCTCCAGGGAGAGTGAGCCTACTTGGTTGAAGAGCACTGATTTTGTTGAGTAGAGGATGCAAGTTTGGGCCAGAGTGGAATTGTTCAAGAATAGAGAGGAGGTTGGTGCTGCCATGGGTGCCCTCCTTCAGCTCCATCGCTTTAAGGAAAGGATGAGCTCATGTTTAAAGACTTTTAAGTTGAAGGCAGTGCTAAATAATTTAGTGTGGTCAGGTACCCACCTGACTCAGGTTGACCCTGACACCAGTGCCAGGTGTGGCAGAATCACCAAAATGGTGTGGAAGATCAAGATAATGCTAAATGAAACTACCATTTAAGTCTGCTTTGAAAACTCAAGGAGTTTGGAGCTCAGAGTTGCCAAGAACAAGTTGGAATGGCCTGAGGCTGCCATGCTATGAGGAAGCCCAGGCCACATGGAGAGGCCACATGCTTTTGACTGGTCGTTCTGGTCTTTCAATTCTCCCAGCTCCAGGAACAGACACATGAGTGAAGAGGCTTTCATACAATTCCAGCCCCAGTTATCGAGTCTTTGCCATTGAAGCCTCAGACATCATGGACAGTGACAAGTCTTCACTGCTCTACCCATTCTGAATCCTGAACTACAGAATCCGTGAGCATAAGGAAATGCTTAAGACACCAAATTGTGGGGTAATTTGTCACACAGCAACACTAATTGTGACTGTAGCTCACTAAAATGCCTCCCAAATATTATCTTCACAACTAAAAGCACCAAAAAACCTGAAAGTACAGTTGAATTTCATGATTTGCTATAATTATATTCTAGAAAGTCACTGCAAACACTGAATTAGCAAATACTGAACCACTGCTCCTAGGAGAAATACAGGCTTAGGTTCCTGTGAACCATTCTGTTCCCAACATGTTCATCAACTCATCAATACTTAAGCTTGTTTTATGCATGTTTCTGTTGAAAGACACCATGTTTAATACATATTGTTGATTCACTCACATTGCACTCATGGCCAACAGCACTGTAACTCACGCCTGAATGAAGCTTATCTAACTCACATGATCTTCTCTGTAAGGCACATCAAAGCCTTCTGGTGCTTAGGAACATTAGACAGCACCTCAGCACCATGCCCGGGGCCATTGTCAACAGTACAATCACCAGCGGAAGACACAAAAATTTGTAAAATGTGGCACTGAATAGACTGAAAAGGACAGTTGTTTACAGTGTGAGAGCTGAAAGAAGAAGGCAGCGTGTCACTTTGTATGATCTCACCTGGAAACATGCATCAAGTGACTCAAAAAAAATTTTTTTTTTCGAGACAGGGTCTCACTCTGTTGCCAGGCTGGAGTGCAGTGGTGGGATCTCTGCTCACTGCAACCTCCGCCTCCCGGGTTCAAGCAGTTCTCCTGCCTCAGCCTCCCAAGTAGCTGGGACTACAGGCACACGCCACCACACCTGGCTGATTTTTGTATTTTTAGTAGAGACAGGGTTTCACCATGTTGGCCAGGATGGTCTCAATCGCTTGACCTTGTTATCTGCCCACCTCGGCCTCCCAAAGTGCTAGGATTACAGGCGTGAGCCACTGCGCCCAACTGGCAACTCAAATTTTTCATGACTCCTCAAGTATCCATCAATGACCATGAGAGCTCCAGCGAGTGTTGATTTTGAGGTTACAAATTTAGTGAGTAGATGAATCCACGACTCCACAATCAGTGACTAATAAGAATTGACTGCATTATTTAATAAGTTCAGGGCTTGCCGTCGTGATTCACAATTGGAGAAAGCGAGGCATGGAGCAAGTCCAGGGGTGTTCCAAAAGGCCTCACTTTTCTCCTTTGCAAACTGTGGCTGATGAGGGCCATCCTGCGGGGTTTGTGGAGAGAAGGGATAGTAACAACAGCTGCATTGTATGGTGCTATGTGCTGCACACTTTGCACACCTGATCATTTAATACTCACAATGATCCCTAGCAGATGGATCCTATTACCAAGTTCATTTTACAGATGAGGAAGCTTAGACCCAGCAAGGTTAAGGGGCTGTGCTCAAGGTCTTACCTTCTAGGAGAGGCAGAGCTGGATCTGAAGCCATTTCTGTTCTCAGCCCCTGCTGTGTGCTTTCCTACCATCCTCTCCAGACTCGCCCTGAGCCCAAGTTGCTGAGGCATGTGGCACGGTGCCTGGCACACAGTAGGCTCACAGTAGTGGCTGCTTTGATGATGACCATAAACTGGGATCTGGGGTCCTTGAGATGATTCTACCAAGGGGACCCGGGGGAAGCTGAGCCCTGGGGCAAAGTGGGGGCCAGCACAGGAGCTGCTGGGGAAGGAACAGAGCCTGTGCGGTGGGAAGATAGGACATGGAGCAAAGAGGATCTTGAATCAGACCCCGTGGTCCCCTCCTACAGAGGGTTAAAGCAAGCCAGCCTCCTTCCGGCTGAGCGGAAATCAGATTTTGAGAGCTGAGCAGGGCTCTGGAGGGATGTTTTTCTTCTCCATTTGTCTGCTTGTGGCTGGCCCATAAAATCCACCGGAACTCCATGCTGGACTGAGGAATTCCTGCTGAACAGGGACATGGAGAACGCAGGCTGGGAGGGGGCATAGTGTGGATCCTTATCAGAGCAGAGACCACCCCATCTTCAAGGCCCCACCTCCAGGTTGGGTGATCCCCTCTGGAGGCCTCATAGGATTCCTGGGTAAGGGGAGGGACCAGGATCGACAGGGTGGGGGAAAGTCCAAGGAACAAGTGATACCCCCTCCCACCTTTTCAAAGTGAACTTGTGGGGTGAGGAATGAGAGGAGACAGGGAGGGTCAGGCTGTGGCAGGTCAGTGAAGTGTGATGCAGGTTCCACCTTCTACGCTGTGTGACATTGGGCAAGTCTCTGCCCGTTTCCTCATCATTGCAACCAGGGGGCTGGAGCTAGATGACCACCATGTGTAATTTTCTAATCAGAGCTGACAGTCTGAGGCTCTTTCTGTCTAGTTTGCACCTTGCATGCATGTCCTCCCCTGAAGGCAGTGCAATTATTATAACCCCTATTTTAAAGGTAAATAAACCAAGGCTCACTGAGGCAAGGTGACCTGAGCAATTTTGCCCTTGAAGGGCTGGGACAGGATGCAAACCTAGACAATTGGTGCCAGAATTCATCTCTCAAGCATTCGCTCTCCTGCCTCCCAACACGAGTTTCTACTTCTCTTTGCCCTGGGATGACCTCTCCTTTGTCTCTTGGCTTGATGACCTCATTTTTAAAGATTCGGCTCATGCATCACCTCCCCCAAGAAGCCTGTCCTGACTAACTAAGCTCGGTTGGGGCTCCTCTCTGTCTGCTCATGCCTCTGGGAAGTAGCTGTCTCTTTTGGTCACTGGGCTGTGAGCCCTGGATGAGCAGAGCCACTTCTCATTCCTTCCTGTGCCTCCTGCATCAGCCAACATAAAAAGCTTTCAATTTTCCTTGAAGATTCTAAGTGCTTGTGGTGGTTTTAGAACATGGCTGCCTTAAGAAGTGGGGTCCATTGGTAGCTCATGCCTGTAATCCCAGCACTTTGGGAGGCTGAGGCAGGAGGATTGCTTGAGCCCAGGAAGCTGAGGCCAGCCTGGGCAACACAGCAAAATCCCGTCTCTACAAAAAATACAAAAATTAGCCAGATGTGGCAGCATGTGCCTGTGGGCTCAGCCCCTTGGGAGGCTGTGGCAGGAGGATCACCTGAACCTGGGGAGGTCAAGGCTGCTGTGAGCTGTGATTGCACCACCGCACTCCAGCCTGGGTGATAGAGGGAGACCCTGTCTCAAAAAAAAAATGGGGTTTATGTCTCCTCCTCTTGAGTCTGGGTGGGCTCGTAACAGCTTTAACCAATAGAATATGTCAGAAGTGACTCTGCGACTACTGAGACTGTTCACTGGCACTCTGTTTTTGGAGCCCTGAGCTGCCGTAGAAGATGTTCAAATACTCTGGGACTACCATGCTGTGGGGTCACATGTAGGCCCTCCTAGTCTTCAAGTCATCCTGGTCTGGGGACTCCAGATGATTCCAGTTCTTAGTTGTTTCATATCCAGCCTTTGAGTCCTCCCGGCTGAGGACCAAGACACCACGGAGCAAAAACAAGCCATCCCCACCACTCCTGGCCCGAATTCCTAAGCATAATAAAATGGTGGCTGCTTAAAGCCACGGAGTTTTGGGGTAGTTTGTTACACAGAGGTGGTAACGGGAACAGTGCGACCACCCTGGGCATGTCACCTTCCTCTCTGGCCAGCCAGAAGGTGCAGCAGCCACAAAGCTCTCTGCCTCCTCCCTTCCCTCAGCGGTGTGCTGCTGACACAGCAGTCAGAGATGCCCCATAAATGCTTCAAACAGACCATGTCCCTCCTTTGCTCAAAACCGTCTGTTGGCTCCCAGCTCACTCAGAGGAAATGCCAGATTCTTACCATGGCCCACGGGCCCTACATGATGGGACCCCTCTCCAGCCCATGGCCTCTCTGTCCTGTCTCCCACCCTCTCCCTTCTCCAGCCACACCACCTCCTTGCTACTCCTTGAACACCACATACGCCCTGTCTCAGGGCCTTTGCGCTTGCCAAGGACAGTGCTCCATTGCCTGGAACATTCTTTCTCCAGGTGTTGCTTGGTTCAGTCCCTCATCTTGTTCATGTCCCTGCTCAGATGTCATCTTCTCAGTGAGGCCCTCTCTTCCTACTCCCAAACCCCTTGACTTGCTCTATTTTCCTCTCGCCATGGCCCTTAGAACTACCTAACACACTATGCACTTTACTTATTGTGTTTCCCCGCCCACCCCGTCCACCCTAGAATGTCAATACCACAGGGCAGGAATCTTGGTTATTCTTTAATGTCTCCCCAGTGCCTGTAAGAGTACCCAACACTCACAGTGGTTTGCTGAATGAATGAATGAATGAGCTGTAGGAGCCCAGAAGGGGTTCGTTGCCTTCCCTAGGACTATGTATGTGGGGAAGCAGAGTGGGTGAGGAAAGGGCAGGATTGGAGTGACTGGGTTGAGCCAGTGTGGCCAGGGCTGGAGGACATTTCTTGGAAGTGACAACTCACTGCCCAGCTGGGGAATCCTGAGGATGGGAGAGTGCAGGGCAAGCCTTTGAAGATGCAAACATGGGTCGTCTCCGGGGCCTCCCTCCTTCCTGGTCTTGTGTGTCTCCGGCCCTGCCAGTAAACAGGATCTCTGGGCAACTGCCTGAGAACCCTGCCCAGTGCCCCAGAGGCCCTGACGTGCTCCTTCCTGAGCTATAAATCAGGTACCTTCCAGCTGTGTGACATCCTGGATTTGATGGGGAAGGCAGAGCAGACAGATTTGTTGCAAAGAGCTGTGCACTGCACCTTGATTTCCTTGTTAGCAAAATAGGAAGGATAGGAGCGTTGACTTCAAGCTGTGGCTGTGAAATCGAGTGAGATAATGCATGAAATTCCTCTGTAAACAGAGATGCTTCAAGGACGCATTAGTGGGTGGAGGCACAGGGAGCAAATCCCAACTCTGCCGCTGAGCTCTGTGTCTTCACCTGTAAAATGGGGTTAATGTGAATCACTAACTTCCTAGGGCTATTGAGGGATTCAAAAATGGAGAGAAAAGTCTTAGTACCCAATGAACGTGCAATAGATATTAGCTGTTATTAATGGTAACTATTACCATAATGATAAAGAATCAGATGTTATTGATAAGCCATTTGGGAGACCGAGAGTCTCAGTTCATACCCCAGAGGGGACCATGGACTTGGCACAGCACGATTTCAACCCTGTGCCTTTTGTGTATATTTCAATCTGGTCAGAGACTATCTCCCACTCACAGGCCACCTCCTCCCCCTACCCCCAGAAAGGCTATACTTGTGAGCACACCACTTCCCTAAAATATGCCACAAGAGTCGACATCTAGCCAGGCACAGTGGCTCATGTCTATAATCCCAGCAATTTGGGAGGCCAAGGTAGGAGGATAGCTTGAATCCAGGAGTTCGAGACCAGCCTGGGCAAGATGGTGAAACCATCTCTACTAAATAATTTTTTAAAAATTAGCTGGGTGTGGTAGTGTGCACCTGTAGTCCCAGCTACTTGGGAGGCTAAAGTGGGAGGATTGCTTGAGCCCAGAAATTCAAGGCTGCAGTGAGCTGTGGTTGTACCATTCCACTTCAGCCTGGGCAACAGGGCAAGACCTTGTCTCTAAAAAAATTTAAAACAAACAAACAAACAAAGAATAAATATCTAGCCTTGAAGCCAGCCTTGGGGGTGGGGTGGGAGGAGGACTATTTGTGTGCAGGAGTTCAAACCCAGGCCCCATCACTCCCCAGATGTGGAAACTTAGACATGTTATTTAATTGTCCTATGCCTCAGTTCCCTCAACTGAAAAAGAGAATAATAATAGTACCCATCTCTTCTAGTTGCATTGAGGACTGAATGAGTTAAAAAGTACCCAACACACCATATGAGATAATGCTATTTTCATTCTACCAATGGGTAAACTGAGGCTCAGCTAGGAGAAAGAACTTGGTTCAAGCTATCAGTCGTGTTGTTTATTGGCCCTAAGTTGTGACGAGTTTCATTATACCATTAGAAGCCCCCGAACAGTGAACTCATTGTTTGTGAGGTATCTCTATCTCTTAGTGATTTTTTAGTTAAATGAGAGTCCATGCTAATCATTTATAAAAAATGGATAAGATAAAAACTTAACATTGAAACATCCATGGGCTTCTTTCCATAAGAAATGGAGAAACTCTTGCTCCTAGTATTAAAAGGTCGTGGGTTCCAGTTTGAGATGCACCAAGCAAGGTAATAGGAAGTCCTTGAAGGTTCTTGAGCAGGGGGAAGCATGAACTTAAAGCATATGAACCATGTGTTTGGGTCAATTCAAGTTACTGAGACTTAGACATTGCTGGTGGGATGCAAATTGCTACAATCTCTGTGGAGGGTGATTGAGTTCCACAAATATTTAAGATAAATGTAAGAGCTCCTACCAAATGCCAGGTGCTGTTCAGGTGCTAAGGATTTGCAGCAAATAAATCCAACCAAGTCCCTCTGCCTGGTGCTTATTTTCTGGAGAGGAGACACACAATGAATGAATATACAACTTAGTATAGCGTGCACTGGGGAAAGAAATAAGAGCATTTCTACAATAATGTTTACTGCAGTGTGAAGGGGGATCTGAAGAGGCTGGACAGAGCCAAGTATGGGTGAAGATGTGGAGATAGCGCTGGGGGTGTGTGGACTGGAGCTGCCATCTGGAGAGCAATCTGTCCAGTTAAATCTGTACATTGGGTGCATAAATTATGGCCACCAATTATTTGACATTCCTCCCATCTAGATGTAGGTCTATGTATCTGCTCTCTGAATCTGGGCTGGCCTCTGACTGCTTTGACAAACAACTATGGTGGAAGTGATGATGTGTCAGTTTCCAGGCCTAGGCTTTAAAAGATTGGCAGCTTCTACTTCCTCTTTCTTGGAACAATTACTTGAGGGGAAGCCAGCTGCCATGAAGAACTCCAGCCACCCCAAGACTGCCATTCTGTGAGGAAGTCCCGCGAACAATGGAAAGAAGTCCTCTAGGATGAGACACCATGTGATGGAGAGAGAGGCCAGGAACATCAAGGCTGTAGACATGAGTGAAGATGCCATCTTGAAAGGGAACCTCCAGCCGTAGCTGTTTCAGTTGATACCACAAGGTTCAGAAAGGAGCCACCCAGCTGAGTCCTTCCTAAATTCCTGACTCACAAAGTAATGAACAAAGTGGTTGCTTTAAGCCTCTAAGTTGAGGGTAGTTTATTGTAGTGCAAAAGATAACCAGAATAGATATATCCGATGACCCAGCAATTATACTCCTGGCTATATGTCCAGACAAAATTCTCTTATCAGCCCATAGAGGATATGGCCATATTGTTGTGGCAACAGAGAGTTAGAGGCCACTCAGGTATCCATTACTGGGGTGGTAGAAAGGAATACATGGTAGGTGCAAAGAGCTCTAGGCAGCAATCAGAAGTCACAGGTGAAGCCACACATACAAGTCTGTTATGTTCTACGTGAAGACTTATACACCACAGAATGCACAAAGAACCCATCAGAATCTATGGAGGTGCAGAAAATATGAAGGGGAAATGGGATAAAAAGGAATAACTAGAGAGAGAGAAACAAAACCAAACAAAGGAGGGTGCACAGGGGTAAGTTATGATAATCTGCCATGAATTGAGGTCTTATTAAACTCAACGCTCTACATTTAAAATCTAAAAAGTAATAACAAAGGCCAACAAAATTAATGTGTGTGAATAGGGGGTTGGTTAAATAAATTGTAGCACATCCACATGAGGGAGTACTGTAAAGCCATAAAAAAGAGTGGCAGAGCTTGCTATGTACTAACATGTAAGAGTCCCAAAGTATGTCGAAAAGGCTATAAGAAGGGTATTGAAAAGGATGCATAATAGGCTTCCATTTGGGGGGAGATACCAGTGTGTGTGGTTGTGGATATGTTTATAGACAAATGGTATATCTGTGGAAGGATGCTCCTGGGGAAAAGAGCCAGATGTCAGGGGAGAGGGGTGGATGGCACTTCAGAAGAGCAGGCACCCAGGAGCTGTGTTCAGAGAAGGAATTGCCACTAACACTGGGACCACCTCCTCCAGGCCAGGATCACGCCAGGTGTGGGGGCTCAGAGTGGGCAGAGAGCCTCTGCTGCTTCCAAGATGCCCAGGGTCCTGACTGTGTCCATGATGCAACCTCAGCCAACAAGTTGGTTGGGCACTGCCCACTGCTGTGCCCTCATCAGCCACTGTCCTCACTTCATTGCCACTCACCATCACCACTCTCCTTCATTCTGCCTGAAACACTCCTCCCCACTGCCCGTCTCCCTCTGTTACTTAATACTCAAACTAGTACAGAGAATAACAGAATAAAATCCCATGTACTCACTGCTCAGTTTAAGGAATAATACTTTTCTTTTCTTTTTTGAGATGAAGTCTCGCTCTGTTGCCCAGGCTGGGGTGCAGCAGCGTGATCTCAGCTCACTGCAACCTCCGCCTCCCAGATTCAAGTGATTCTTCTGCCTCAGCCTCCTGAGTAGCTGGGATTACAGGGATACGCCACCACACCTGGCTAATTTTTGTATTTTTAGTAGAGATGGGATTTCACCAAGTTGGTCAGGCTGGTCTCAAACTCCTGACCTCGTGATCTGCCTGCCCCGGCCTCCCAAAATGCTGGGATTACAGGCATGAGCCACTGCGCCTGGCCTAAAACTTTTCAAAAAGAATTGAGAGTGAATGGTTTTAAATATGTCCACAAATTCTTGGACACTCCTCTCTTCAAAAAGTAGAGTTACATTCTCCTTACCTTTGAGTATGGGCTGAGCTCAGCAACTCATGTCTAATGAAGAGGATGTGGTGAATGAGGATGGGTCACAAAAGGGATACAACTTCTGCTTAATTGTCCATCTGTCCGTCTATCTCTCCATGCTCACTTTTGGAATCCAGCCACCATGTTGTGATAGAACCCAAGATGCATGGGCGGGCCCACATGGAGAGGAACTGAGGCCCTCTCCCCTCTTCCCAGTCCCTGATCAACAACCATCACAAATTTGCTAGCCACCCAGATGAACCCCCTTTGGCTTGGCAGCAAATTCTCCAGCTTACCCTCCAACTCCCCAACCCGATAGGCCTTCAGATGACTGCAGGCCCAGCTGACAGCTGAATTTAGCTTCCTGAGGACCAGAACCACCCAGCTAAACCATGCCCATATTCCTGCCTTCAGAAACTGTGAGATATAAAAAATGACTGTTAGTACTTTGAAAACATTATGTTTTGGGATGATTTCTAATGCAGGATCGATTGCTAATACAGAGGGTCCCTGGTATCCCTCCCCACCATCCCCATCCACCCTCTTAGAAGCCACAATCCTGATGTTTATTATTTCCATGAATGTTTTACCTTTTACTACATATAATAAATCCTTACCCAATACATAGGACTATATTTCCTTCTTTTTTAAAGAATTTTTTCTTTTTGAGATGGAGTTTTGCTCTTGTTGCTCAGGCTGGGGTGCAATGGCGCGATCTCGGCTCACTGCAACCTCCGCTTCTCGAGTTCAAGCGTCATTCTTAAAAATGTATAGAAGTGCATATATATTGTATGGATTCTGTGCATCCTACCTCGCATGCTCTTTTCCTTGCACAGTGTGCATTGGCGACCCATCTGCATTGAGGCAGGCAGCTGCCATTCGTTGGCACTGCTGGGCATTCTTCCCTTATATGAATATGTTAATACCACGATATAGTATCTGAAGTCCATGTTGATGAACATTTGGATGGTTTTTATTTTTTGCTATTACAAACAACAGCGCTGGTAACATCCACTTGCCCTCTTCCCTCTTTCACATGGCACCTTCTTGTTCTTGGAGGTCTCAGCTCTAACAATGTAACCCCACCAACCCCCCGCTCCAGCTAATGGGTTCTCTGTCCCCACATGTGCCTCCCAAGCTGGCTTTTGATGGTGCTCCCTCTGTTTTTCCTTCTGGCATCTACTCCGTGTGGTCAACATTCAGTTATCTTTTCCTGTCTGGAGCTAGAGGGTAAGCCCCATGAAGGCAGGCAGAGTAGTGGGTTTTTTTCCCCAGTCCCCTCCATCCCTGATGCTTTGCACAGGGCCTGGCACACAGTAGGTTCGCAAGAAAAATTGTTGGATCAGGAATGGCTGAGAATTAGCTTCCTCTCTTTGGGCTTCAGTTTTCCCATCTGCACAGTGAAAACTTTAGATAATTTCGGGGTGATTTTAGGTTTAGCCTTTGAGAGGTGCCTCAGTGGCCGCCACAAAATATCGGAAGACCCCAACTTTCAGCAGAGCTGGCCTTGTTTCCCTTGTGTCTTAGATTGGTCTCTATGGCAGATTATGTTTAAAAAGAATAGCCACCATTTATTGAGCGCTCACTACGTGATAGGCATGCTGTCAGCTGGCAGATGCATTTCCTCATTTTGGCCACTCATTAACCCTCAGAAGTAGCACTGTTACTATGCTCTTTATAAAGAGGGGTAAACTGAGGCAAAGAGAGGTGAAGTCACTTGTCAGAGGACTAGCAAAGGAGGGAGCTGGGATTTGTAGCACAAGAGACTATCAGAGCCCATTCGCCAACCCTGGTGCAGCCCTGCCCCACTGGTACCACAGCTTTAAAGAAGTGGGGTGGGAGGCAGAGGAGGAGGACGGTGAAGGACAAGGGTGAAGAGAAATGTTTGGATAAGTTTGACAGCCACTCTTCTGAAGGGCTTTGCCAGCCGCAGCATTCGGGTGTCCCTAGTCACGGGGGCTCCGTCACTTCCCTATCCCCCTGTTTCCCGGCCCTGATGGGTCTTGCTCTGTCACCCAGGAGGCTGGAGTGCAGTGGCGTGATCACAGCTCACTGCAGCCTGGAACTCCCGGGCTCAAGTGATGTTCCCCATCAGCCTTCCTAGTAGCTGCGACTACAGGCGTGCACCACCATGCCCAGCTAAGTTTTAAATGTTTATATAGACACAGGGTCTCACTATGTTGCCCAGGCTGGTCTCGAACTCCTGGCCTAAAGCAATCCTCCTGTCTTGGCCTCTCAGAGCACTGGGATTAAAGTGTGAGCCACTGTGCCTGGCTGAGATTTATTGATCACATAGATACCTATATTATTCTAAGTGTTTTTCAAGTGACAACTCATTTAATCTTCATAACTGTCCTGTGACGTAGATAGTATCAGTTTTATCAGTATTTTATGGAGATTAAGTAACAGAAGCACAGAAAGGTCAAGTAACTTGCACAGAGTCACACAGCTGGTAAGATGTGGACCCAGCTTTGAATCCAGGCAGTCCAGCTCCAGAATCCTTGTGCTTCACATCACCACACGCTGCCTTCACCATCACGTGTCAGTTCCACACAAGTGGATGCCCACAATGGTTGGGAGTAAGGGGAAAAGGAGTAGGGCTTGAGGAAAAAATAAAAGTGAAGCGTGTGATGATAATGAGCTATGCTTGAGAAATGGGATTAACTCAGCTCTCTGTACTTGATAGAAAAAAGAAGGAGAAGGAGGAGAGGAAAGAAGAAGAAGGAAATATTTAACTGGACTCTCCGGGGCTTAATTATAACAACTGTCTGGCACCTAAGGTCCTTCCCTAGCTGGGCTTGCTGCTTCTCTAATCTCATTTCCCTACGTTTCTCACGGTGCTCCAGTCACTCCAGGCCACACCTGATCCCAGAAACCTACTTGTTCCTACTTTGAGCCTTTGCTTGTGCTGTTTCTTCCATTAAGGGTGCCCTTTTTGCCAGGTGCAGTGGCTCATGCCTATAATCCCAGCACTTTGGGAGGCCGAGGTGGGACAATCACCTGAGGTCAGGAGTTCGAGACCAGCCTGGCCAACATGGTGAAACCCCGTCTCTACTAAAAACACAAAAGTTAGCCAGGCGTGGTGGCAGGTGCTTGTAATCCCAACTACTTGGGCGGCTGAGGTGGGAGGATCGCTTGAACCTGGGAGGCAGAGGTTGCAATGAGCTGAGATCATGTCGCTACACTCCAGCCTGGGCAACAGAGCTAGAGACTCCGTCACAAAAAAAAAAAAAAAAAAAAAAAAAGAGTGCTCCTTTCCCCATTTTAGGAACTCCTACACATCCATCAAAACCTGGCCTAAAGGCCCTCTCCTCAATGGAACCTTTTCCAGCCTTTCACTTCTTGGGGTTCCCACAGCCCTTTACATGTCTCTATTCTGGTTGGCTCACCTGCTAGCCAGTGAGCTCCTGGAGGACAGGGATGGGTCTGGCTCATCTCTTTAACCGCCATGCTGAGCCCAGAGCCTGGTAAATGGTGGGTGCTCTATAAGCTCGTGCCCAGTCACTCACCTTTACAGCTCCAGTGTCTGGCTGACAGTGGGTGCTCAGTACATGTGGTTGGACAGATCAATGAGTGAATATTTGACGGAAGGGTGAATAATGACATCAAGGCTGCATTCCAATAACAGCACAATCCCAGTGCTGAGAAAACAATTCACAGCCCTGGATTCATATCATGGAATTCTGATTCCTAGGCCCCTTTGTTCCCAGAGCTATCCGATGATGCTGAAGAAGAGTCCCTGGGCATCATCTGTTCCAGCTGTGTGACCTTGAGCAAGTTGTTTAACCACCTTGTGCCCCAAGATTCTCATCTGCATAAAGAAGAGAAATAGCTACACCTTCCTCATGGGCTAGTTACAAGGATGAAATTTGATCATATGTGCCAAGCACTTAACACAACACATGAACATCACGGCATTGGCATGTCAGCTATGCCAATGACTCTATTTATACCTGAATTTTTATTTGAAATAATTTCAGACTTACAGAAAGTTTGCAATAATAATACAAAGAATTCCTACATACCATCACCCAGATTCCTTAAATGTTAACATTTTGCATTCTTTGCTTTTTCATTCTCTCTCAGCATATATTTTTGTCCAGTGCCTGAATTGTTGGAAATAAGTTGCAGACATGTTGACTCTTTACCTCTAAGTTAATTATCCCATGTATATTTCTAAAAACAAGAATATTCTCTTACAAAATCGCAGGACAGATAGAAAAATCAGGACACTGATACAATGCTATTGTCTATCTTATAGACCTATTGAAATTTTTTCAGTTCTACTAATGTCCTTTGTAGCAAATAAACAAAAAGATTTCTACCCCCCCACCCCACCCACTCAGTAACCAGTCCAGGACACATGTTGTATTTAATGTTTATGTCTCTTTAGTCTTCTTTTTAGTCTTATCTGGAGCAGTTTCTTTTTTTTGAGACAGAGTCTTGCTCTGTTGCCCAGGCTGGAGTGCAGTGGTGCCACCTCGGCTCACTGCAACCTCTGTCTCCCAGGTTGAAGTGATTCTCCTGCCTCAGTCTCCCGAGTAGCAGGAATTACAGGCGCCTGCCACCACGTTCAGCTAATTTTTGTATTTTTTTAGTTTTACCACGTTGACCAGGTTGGTCTCGAATTCCTGGCCTCAAGTGATCCACCTGCCTCGGCCTCCCGAAGTGCTGGGATTACAGGCGTGAGCCACTGTACCCAGCGTGGAACAGTTTCTTTGGCTTTTATGGCTGACATTATTTGAAGAGTTTAGGCCAGTTTTTTGTTTTGTTTTGTTTTGGTTTTTGAAGATGGAGTTTCACTCTTATTGCCCAGGCTGGAGTGCAATGGCACCATCTTGGCTCACTGCAACCTCCGCCTCTGGGTTCAAGCGATTCTCCTGCCTCAGCCTCCTGAGTAGCTAGGATTACAGGCGCTCGCCACTATGCCTGGCTAATTTTTTGTATTTTTAGTAGAGACAGGGTTTCACCATGTTGGCCAGGCTGGTCTCGAACTCCTGATCTCAGGTGATCCATCTGCCTCGGCCTCTCAAAGTGCTGGGATTACAGGTGTAAGCCACTGTGCCCAGCCTGGAACAGTTTCTTTGACTTTTATGATCAACATTATTTGAAAAGTTTAGACCAGTTGTTTTGCAGATTGTCCCTCTGTTTGGATTTTTGTGTTATTTCTTTATGCTTGGATTCAGATCAGGCACTTGTGGCAAGAACACCGCATCAGTGACGCTTTGTCCTTCACAGTGCGTCCCATCAGGGGGCCCATGATGCCTGCCGACTTGCCCCACTATTAGCAATGTTCACTGTGATCATTTGGTGAAGGTGGTGTCTGCCAGTTTTCCCTACTGTAAAGTTACCATTTTTCTCTTTGTAATTAACGAATACCTTATAGGAAGATACACTGATACTATGTAAATATTCTGTTTCTCTTTATATTTCCTGCCCATATATTTCCTAGCAGGATGATCTATTTTGCAATAGATGCAATTATTATTTGATAAAGGAATACATAAACATGGACCAATATTCCAACAGTATAAAAGAGTGTAAGGCAAATCTCCCACCCACTCCGTCCCCAGCCACCCCGATCCTCTCCCCAAGCCATCCCTAGTCTCACTGTTTCTTGTGTCCTTCCAGAAATGTTCTATGCATAGACAAGCGAATCCACTCATCCATCTTCTTCTCGAGTTATGTGCATGCAGAAGGTAGCTAAATAGACACATGATCTGCATCTTGTTTTATTTCATTTAATATTTTGGAGACCATTTCATATTTGAACACAAAGAGAGATCTCTTGCTGATTTTAGAAACTTATGTCCATCTGAGGTGCAATCCCAGGGTAGTCAATCTCTTTCAGGTTCACAAATAAGGAAGCTGAGACTCAGAGTGGGGAAGGGACAGGTCCCAATGTCAGAGGCAAAACAGACTTGGAAACCAGCCTGGAACCCCTGAATAAGAGAGTTGACAGGTCTTACTATTGGGGAACCAGTCCTTCCAAGGGCCTTTTCAACAAAATGCCAGACCCAGGCTCATGCCCCCGTTCTCAGCCTGGCTTCTCCCTCCTTCCCCCCTCCTCCCCTGGGTCCCTTCTTAACTCTCGTTAGGGACTCCCCTCCAGCTCCCTGCTGGGCCAGGCCTTGGGAGCCCCATTGATCCTCTGACAGCCCAAGACAGATTGGTGGGGAGTGTGTATTCAGGTGCAGGCGCCAGCACATGGAGGCCAGATGAGAATGGGGTGGAGGGGGTCAGGGGCCTGCTGGGGTGGGGGGATTGAGGATTGAGGAAGGCCAGGATAGTGCATCCCACAGACACCTGCCTCCCCTCTTTCTCCCCCACCAATTCCTGCCCTTCTTGGGGCTTCTGTTCCTCCCGCCTCCTCTTGCCAGGCGTGGGCAGGCCAGAGGGGCTGGGGCAGGGCCTGGGAGGCCTGGGGGTGTAGCAGAGAGAAGTCGGGATGGGGAGTGAGCCTTGCTTGGTTTGATCTCAGCTCAGGCCCTCTTGTGAGACTCAGGCAGATGACATCTCTTGAGCCTCCGTCTCCTCGGGGCAATAAGAAGGAAATAAACTTCATACAGCGTCCAGCAGCCAGTGAGGCATGGCCAGTAAAGGTCTCCATGTCCTTCATTGGCCTCTTAAGGCTCCCACTGCATTGTTCCTGTCTGATTATGGAAGCCCCCAAGCCAAGGCGGCCCCTCGGCTCTGCCTGCGGAAAGTTTTCCCTTCACCTGCGCAGACCAGGCCGATGTGGCCTCCAGAATGGAGGGGTCAGCCTAGGTTGCCTGTGACAACTCTGAAAGGCCTTAGGAGGCACAGCATCTCAAGTGCACACCCGAGTATGGCGTGATCTGCAAGGGGAATAGGGGCTGGGGGGAGACATAGGCTTTGAAGATGAATCAGGCTGGAGCAGGGTGGAAGTGGGCTCAGGGAGATGGAGCAGGAGGGGTTGGTCAGGGAAGAGGGAGCTCAAGGGAGGAGACATAAGCGCAGAGAGTGAGATAGATAGGGACCCAGCAGCAAGTGGGCTCAGAGAGGGGCTGTGGTGCAGAGAGAATGAGACTCAGATGGGGGCTGTAGACTCAGAGAGAGAGATGGGGACAAAAGGGGAGTGGGGGCTCAGGCAAAGGGATGAAGGCAGAGATGGGAAAATTGGGAGGGAGGGGAGCATCCGTTTTGGGAGGGAAGTGTCAGTTTTGAGCACACACAGTCCTCTGCAGCTTGAGGAGGAGGAAGGCTGGGTCTGTGGAGGGTGGGGAGCGGGTGGCACCAGAACAAAGCCCCGGGGGTAGCAGCCTGGGCCCTGCAGCTCCTTCGCAGCTGACAGTCCCTGAGCTAATTACCATTAATGAGCAGCTGGGCCCAGTTTCCCGGGATTTGCATTCACTGTGCTAGTCAGCGCCACTGTGGATGGAAGCCAGCGCCAGCCTTCTGGGGTGGGGGTGACTCAGGGAGCCGAGGTAAGATCGCTGGCTTCATGTGGGGCTGAAGAAGGTGTGGCTTTGCCTTTCCTGCAGGTTAGGAGATGGCCGAGGTACAATCGTGCCTGGAGGCAGGGCACTGGCATCATCCACCTGTCCTCAGCCAGGGCCGGGGTAAGGGTCTTGGGGAAGGAACAGGTCTTGTGGCCCTCAGAAGCCCTCAGACATTTGGTTGCAGGGGCCCTCAGATTGTGCAGCCAGCTGTCCACTGCGGAGTTGAGGGAATAGACCACAGAGGAGCAACGTGCTGCTCAAACTCATACCAAGACAGCATTGCTCGTTAAGCGTGCCTGTGTCAGACGCTGTCCAAAGCACTTTACTGAATCTTCACTACCAACCCCATGTGGTGGCTGTTATTAGCAATCCCATTTTACAGATGAGGAAACTGAGGCACAGAGCGGTCACACAGCCAGGGACCAGCAGGGCTGGCATTTGAGCCCAGTCCTCCTGACTGATCCCTGCTGGGCAATAGGGCTGAGGAGCTCTCAGACCTGGGTTTTCCCTTGTGATGGGGGCTAACAGTGCCTCTCTCCCCCTAATTCCACTCTCTGCAGGGATGCCGGTATGTTTGGTGCCCCTGGCAGGGTTGGGAGGTGAGACTTAAGTACAAATAAATAAACAGGGAGCAGATGGTTGTGGGGGGAGTGGTGGTGCTGGGAGGGATAGGGCCAGGGCCTCCCACTTCTCCTTGGGAAAACATTTCTGGGCTGGAGCAAATGGATTCCAGACTCAGGACCTGGGAGCCCCTTCCCCAGGCCTGCCCTCCTGCCTGCTGGCCTCAGACCTGGCCCAGCCCTTGGGAGAAATGGTGGGCTGGGGTCCCGAGTCTTGGGTTCTGCCCATCCCTCATTTCTCTCTCTTCTTCCTGTGTGGCCTTGAGCAAGTCCCTTTACCTTTCTGTGCCTCTATTTCCTCATCTGTCAAATGAGTGGAAGGAGAATGAACTTTATCAAGTTTCTGTTCAAGGGCCACCTCCCCTGGGAAGCCTTTCTTGATTGCTCCAGGCAGCTTCTGTTAGAGCAACAGCCTCGAGTATCAAGGAGAACATAGGTATTTGTGTTTTTCATTTCACAACAATCCATTCAACAGATACTTTCTCAGGGTCACCTATGTGCCTGGCACGATGCCACACTCCAGGCTGACTCGTAGTTTTTCTCTGTAGCTCCAGTGCTGGCCCAGAGTAGCCACTAATAAACATGTGTCATGTGCATGAATGATGAGTGGGTGACTGAAAGGGAGCATGAGGAGCTGCAGTGTTTCCCAAACGTGGTACTTGTATCTTGGGGGTGGGAGTGGGGAGTGGATAAAAGATGATACGGGTGAACAGCAACAAGTTATTAAATAACAATAAATCAACAGTGAAAAAGTTATTCCTTTTTCATTACCTCCCAGTCCTTCTTACAGGCCAAGGAGAAGGTCTCCGATGATGCCAGGAACGTGTTTCTAGCACCTGTGGATCTCTCTTTCTCTCTCTCTCTCCCCCAACTCCCGCAAAACCCACCCCAAGAAGGCTGGTCTTGGGCTCAGAGCTTCTACAGACAACACTATCTAGAATTTGAGAATGTTGTTTGGTTTCCATTTTATTCATTTTGGTCAGTTACCTTTTATTTGTGACAAGGGATTTTGATTTTTCCTTTGTTTGGACATGGCCAGTGGGAGTTGGAAGTGTTTGGCACTTTCTGATGAAGTGATCAGGACCAGGGTGGGGAAGAGGGCTCGACTGAAAAGGGGCACGAGAGCACTTGTGGGGTGATGGAAATGTTCTGTGTTTTGCTTGTGGTCGTAGTTACATGGCTGTGTACATTTTTCAAAATGCATTGCACGATAACACTTAAAATAGGTGCATTTTATTGTATGTAAATTATACCTCAAAGTTGATTTAGAAACACATATTGAGGGCTGGGAATGGTGGCTTACGCCTGCAATCCTAGCACTTTGGGAGGCCAAGGTGGGTGGATCACCTGATGTCGGGAGTTCGAGAACAGCCTGGCCAACTTAGCAAAACCCTATCTTTACTAAAAATACAAAAAAATTAGCCGGGCGTGGTGGTGCATGCCTGTAACCCTGGCTACTCAGGAGGCCGAGGCATGAGAATTCTTGAATCTGGGAGACAGAGGTTGCAGTGAGCTGAGATTGCACTACTGCACCCCAGAGCGAGACTCTGTCTCAAAACCACCACCACCACCAGCACCACCACCAGCACCACCACCACCACCACCACCAGCACATGTTGAGGATATTAAGTAGATAATAATACAGATGGCATGTAGGTGTGGCCAAAGTCATGAAGGTTGCCCACCACACGGTAAACTTTGTAGTCAGTGAATAAATGGATAGATAGGAGATAGAATGGAGGAATGCATGAATGGGTAAATGAGCAAGCGAATGAATACCTATCTCATCCATTCTACACAGCCCCAGCACATTGGGAGGTTGTCCTATCTCAACTTGCATAGCTCCTAGAATGGGGGAACTCACTACCTTATGACATAGCCCTTTCCACATCTGAACCACTAGGAGTGTGTAAAAGACATTTTCTCATATTAAGTTTATCTTTCTGGAGATCCTGTGCTCTCTGGGGCCCCACAGACACATCTGCTTCCCTGTCTGGGGACAGCCCAAACACTTGCCCTCCCCAGGCTGCCCTTCTCTGGGCCCTTCTGCCCAGATGCTTGGCTGCTGTGCCCACCAGGTCCTGCTTGCACAGAGCTTATATCCTAGTGGGCGGCAGGACAAAGAACAAGCACACAGGCACACAAACACAATGATTCCATGCTATGAAGGAAATGCAGAGTGAGACTGTTGGGAAGAGCATGGCGGGGTGTGGAGAGGCAAGGGGAGTCTCTCTAGGAAGGTAATATTTGAGCTGGGACCTGAAGAATGCAACAAAGCCAGAAGAACAAGAGAAAGGGCATTCCAGATAGAGGCAAGAGCAAGTGCAAGAGCCCTGAGATCACAGAGCAATTGGAAACTAGGAAGCAGCCAGCCTGGCTGGACATGGACATTTTGGGTATTGATGGTGAAGAGCCTGGAATTGTTTTCTAAATTTGATCTCCAAACACTTTTAAGCAAGAGGTGATATGATATGACATATTTTAGCAGACAATGAATATTTCCTGAATTAAAATTGAAGACCCTTCTAGTTCCAATAGTTCCATGCTTCCCAAAGTGATACTGAAATGACTTCAGGAGAGAACAGGCTGGGCGTGGTAGCTCACATCTGTAATCCCAACGCTTTGGGAGGGTAAGGCAGGAGGATTGCTCGAGGCCAGGAGTTCAAGACCAGCATTGGCAACATAGTGAGATCCCCATCTCTACAGAAATAAAAATAAAAATAAAAAAATTAAGGCCGGGCACAGTGGCTCAAGCCTGTAATCCCAGCACTTTGGAAGGCCAAGGTGGGTGGATCATGAGGTCAGGAGTTCGAGACCAGTCTGGCCAACATGGTGAAACCCCATCTCTACTAAAAATACAAAAAATTTAGCTGGGCATGTTGGCGTGTGCCTGTAATCCCAACTACTTAGGAGGCTGAGGCAGGAGAATCACTTGAACCTGAAAGGTGGAGGTTGCAGTGAACCGAGATCACACCACTGCACTCCAGCCTGGGCGACAGAATGAGACTCTGTTAAAAAAAAAAAAAAAAAAAAGCTGGACATGATGGAACATACCTGTGGTCCTAGCTACTCAGGGGGCTGAGGCAGGAGGATCACATGAGCCCAGGAGGTCAAGGCTGCATGAGCTGTGATCTTACTACTCCACCTCAGCCTAGGTGACACAGCCAGACCTTGCCTCAAAAAAAATTTTTTTTTAAAAGAAAAGAGACAATCATGTGATGGTTGCCAGAATGGCCTCCAGAGAGGGCCTCCCTAGGCTGAATCCTGGCTCTGCCTCATCCTTGCCGTATGACTCTGGGCCAAGGACCTTGCCTCTTTGAGCCTCAGTTTTTACATCTGCAAAGTGGGGGTCATAATTGTCCCTGTCTTATTGGCTTGTTGTGAGGATTAAATGACTTTATATTGGAGAACAGGGCCCAGCATGTCAAAAGTACTTTCTGTTTGTTAAATACAATGAAAAAGGGTGAGGACATGCAGAAGCAAGATTAATCCTTTTTCAATCTCTTCCAGTCCTGATTCCTGCAAGGAGAGTCAGGGTTGGTGGGGATGTGTATCTCTAACACCAGCCCAATCTGGAGGAAGTTAGTAACAAGGTTATATTTATGTTGTTTATATTTACAGCTACCTTTATTTGTGCCACATGATACAATTTTTTTTTTTTTTTGAGATGGAGTCTCACTGTCTCCAGGCTGGAGGGCAATGGCACAATCTTGGCTCACTGAAACCTCCACCTCCTGGGTTCAAGCAGTTCTCCTGCCTCAGCCACCCGAGCAGCTGGGATTATGGGTGCTCATCACCATGCCCGGCTTATTCTGTAGTTTTAGAAGAGACGGGGTTTCACCGTGTTGGCCAGGCTGGTCTTGAACTCCTGACCTCAGGTGATCCACCCATCTCAGCCTCCCAAAGTGCTGGGATTACAGGCGTGAGCCACCGCGTCTGGCCCAAATTTTCCATCTACCCTGGCTATTTCAAGTTTCCTTATTTTTTTTTTTTAAAGTAAAACAAAAGCAAATAGATTTAGAAATTCAAGGGCCATGGTCCCTGAGGTAATGGCAAGCCCTCCTGTCCCAAATGGCCCAAATTGTGCAGGTGGTCATTGAGCCATTGATGGGACTTTAGGAAGCATGGTTTTATTTTTATTTTTATTTTTTAGATGGAGTCTCGCTCTGTTGCCCAAGCTGGAGTGCAATGGTGCAATCTTGGCTCACTGCAACCTTCACCTCCTGGGTTCAAGCAATTCTCCTGCCTCAGCCTCCCAAGTAGCTGGGATTACAGGCGCCCGCCACCACTCCCGGCTGATTTTTGTATTTTTAGTAGAGATGGGATTTCACCATCTTGGCCAAGCTGGTCTTGAACTCCTGACCTTGTGATCCACCTGTCTTGGCCTCCCAAAGTGGTGGGATTACAGGCATGAGCCACCGCGCCCCGCCCAGAAACCTGTTTCTAAGCTCAGCACAGGGAATAGCTCCTTTTTCAAGTTATGTCCTGATCCGGATCACTTCTTTCTACCCGTGTGCAATCCACCAAGCATCACCTGGGGCTCTGGTGACAGCAGCATCCCCTTCACCTTCTTTCTCTTCCTGCTCCACTCGGCAGCCAGAGCCAGACCATGTCCTTCCTCTGCTCAAAGCCTCACAAGGCTCCCAGCTCACTTGGAGAAAAAGCCGAAGTCCTCACCCAGCTATGAGGCCCCTCCCAAGCTGATGACCCTCACCCCTCCTCACCCCTCCAGCCTCGTCACCTGCCCAGCCACAGCCCTTCTCCCACCTCCACTGACCCCACCACACTGGCCTCCTTGCTGCTTCTTGAACACTCACTCTGTGCAGGCTCCAGCTCAGGACTTTTGCATATGCTGTTCCCTCTGCCTGGAACACATCCCTCTGACACCCACAGGGCATTTTTCCTCTCATTGCCCAGGTCAATGCCCCCTCTCAGAGAGGCCCATCCACCTTACCTAAATATTTCCTAGCTCATTCTTCCTCCCTCCCCTGCTTTTCCCTCAGAGCATATATCACTACCAGACATCACATTTTACCTTTGATACATATGTTGTGTGTGTCATCGCCTGTCTCCCAGAGTGGACTTCAAGAGGACAGAAGTTTGCGTCTGTTTTGTACTCTGATGGCTCCAGTGCCTGGAATGGTACTGATTTGCAGAATGAATGTCCAGGGGTGTGTGTGAAGGGTGGAGGGCAGTCACTCCCAGCCCTGCCCAGCCTCACTGTGGCCCCTCAGTCCCCTCTCCGGATATAGCTTTTCTCTCTGCCTGCCCCACCCTCTGACCCTCAAGGGCAGGCCAGGGCAGCAAGCTTGTCCCTTAGGAGGGAGGTTTCCAGCTGCAGGGCAGACCTTCCTCCTATACCTCCATCCCAGGTAAGCCCAACTGGAGCTGCCCTCTCGTGGAGGGTACTCCAAGGATGAAGGGCCTTAGGGGAAGAGCCACCCTGAATGTCTCTGGGCAGCCAGGAACCTGCTCACAGCCTCCGCGACCTCATCGGGAAAGAGGCAAGACTCATGAGAGTGAATGGCCCACGGGGAGTTACTATGCTTGTCCCCTTTTACAGATGAGAAAACTGAGGCTCAGAGAGGTGAATCTGTCTCTAGGGCAGCTGGAGCCTCTGTCCCCTCCTCTGTAAAATGAGGAGAATAACTCCTCCCTCCTAAGGTTACCTTGAGGATTAAATGAGCTAAATAAAGCCTTTAAACACAGAGCTGTGTCTGGCACATAGGAGGTGCTCAATAAATGTTGGGTACTCTTGTTGTTCTGACAGGTGAACTAACTTTCCAAGGTCTCACAGTTAGTAAGTAACACAAACAAATTCAAACCCAGATCTGTCTGAATCTAAAGTGATTCCCAGAGGGGGGGCAGTGGCTCACACCAGCACTTTGGGAGGTCGAGGCAGGAGGATCACTTGTGCCCAGGGGTTCGGGACTAGCCTGGGCAACGTGACAAGACATTGTTTGTCTCCGCAAAAAACTTACAAAATTAGCCAGGCATGGTGGTACGTGCCTGTGGTCCCAGTTACTTGGGAGGCTGAGGCTGGAGGATGGTTTGAGCCTGGGAGTTGGAGACTGCAATGAGCTGTGATCACACCACTGCACTCCATCCTGGGTCAGAGAGCTAGACCTGGTTTCGAAAAAAAGTCAAATAAATAAAGAAAGTGACTCCTGTGCACAACCACAAAATAATAACAATAACAGCGACGACAACAGCAACAACACCTCCGAGCAGTAACAGCATTTTCCACTGCAGACGGCGGCGCTGAGGGTACAGGGATAAGATCATCCGGTGACAGGGATCATCATCCCTGCCTGGCATAGAAACCCGGACATCGGACCCTGCCCTCCCGCTGCTTCCGCAGGGACAGGGGGCAGCCAGCAGAGCCTCCCTCTGGGGGTGCCCCCCAATCTGGTTGCCTGGGACGGGGGCCCAGCGGGGGTGGAGTTGCCTGGGGGGGGGGCCCAGCGGGGGTGGAGTTGCCTGGGGGGGGAGGCCCAGCGGGGGTGGAGTTGCCTGGGGGGGGGAGGCCCAGCGGGGGTGGAGTTGCCTGGGGGGGGGTGCCCAGCGGGGGTGGAGTTGCCTGGGGGGGGCCCAGCGGGGGTGGAGTTGCCTGTGGGGGGAGGCCCAGCGGGGGTGGAGTTGCCTGGGGGGGGCCCAGCGGGGGTGGGGTTGCCTGGGGGGGGAGGCCCAGCGGGGGTGGAGTTGCCTGGGGGGGGGAGGCCCAGCGGGGGTGGAGTTGCCTGGGGGGGGGTGCCCAGCGGGGGTGGAGTTGCCTGGGGGGGGCCCAGCGGGGGTGGAGTTGCCTGTGGTGGGGGGCCAGCGGGGGTGAAGTTGCCTGGGGGGGGCCAGCGGGGGTGGAGTTGCCTGGGGGGGGGCCAGCGGGGGTGGAGTTGCCTGTGGGGGGGGGCCAGCGGGGGTGGAGTTGCCTGGGGGGGGCCAGCGGGGGTGGAGTTGCCTGGGGGGGGCCAGCGGGGGTGGAGCACCCTGGACGGCCCCGCGGAGCCCCCTGCGGGAGGCGAGGGCGGCCCTCGGGCTCTGGAAGGGGCCGCGCGGCCTGGAAGACATTACACGGCTGTCGGGCGGGGGGCGGCGCTCGCAGTTCCGGAGGGGGGTCCCGGCGGCGGACGCGCGGGGTGAGGGGACCGCCCGGCCACAGAGCGCGCTTTGTTCTGCGCCGCCCCCGGGAGCTGGAACCAATGGATTGGCGGCAGCTGAGGTCATCTGTCAGGCGGAGCCGGGGGGTCAGGCCCGGGGAAGGGGCCGCGAGGGAGGGCGGCGCGCGTGGGCCGGCGGGGTGCGGGTGGACGAGCCGGGGGCCCTGCGGCAGGTGGCTACGCTGCTTCGGTCCTCAGTTTACCCGTCTGTCCAACAGGAAAGATCATTTCTGCCCTGTCCACCTCTGGGGGCTAATGTGAGAGTTAAAGTAGGGGAGCTACAGTGATGATGATGATGACGACGGAGGATGACAGCCTTCCCCTAATCGCAGTCTCTACTTCGGGTACCATAGAAGTGCTAAGTCAGGGGCTGGACGCAAATGTGCTTTGTAGCCTATAGTGCGTGCCTGTGTGGGAAGCGGGATGGATGTTTCACCCCACCCTCTTTCAGCCCAGGGAAGTCAGTGGCTCCCCCTGATTGCCTGCCTTGACCCTGGGTGCCAGGCTTGGTCTGCCTTCTCCAGGGGTGATAGGTGCAGCTGCCCAAGCCTGAGCCCAGGAACCCATTGCAGCCTGTCCTTGGAGCCTTCTGGTCCAGGGTAGGGCGGGACTGGAGTGACCCAGATAGGTGGGGTTTTTTTTTCTGACTGGGGGTAGGTCAGGGTCTCAAGGCTCTCCTTTGCCTCCTACAAAAGGACAGCCCTTTCTTTCATCAATTCACTCATTCATTCATTCACACTGCCACCTGCCTGTGCCTCACAGTTCCCATCCATGAGATAATGAGGCTTCTAAACATTTGATACAGGGTCCCCCAGGGAAGGAGATCATCAAATACAGGGAGGCCCAGAAACGGCCCAAAATGCGTGTGTGTGTATTTTTGGGGAAAGGACTCATGGCTTTCTTGTGTTCTCAACCACGTTCATGATCCCAAACAAGGCTAAGAAGTACTGGTTGGAGTGCAGGGAAGGCAAATAGGCTCCCAAACTCCACCGGAGAGGGTGGCACTTGGAACAACCACTTTGGAGAGCAATTTGCCAGGGTCTTAGAAGATGGAAATGGGCGTATGCATCAGCCAGGCAGCTCCACTCCTGGGTATACAGTTGAAAGAGCAGGGTGATGGCGGGGGCCGTTCGCAGCCGCAAATAACTGTAAGCCCCCATGCTTCCATGAACATGATCACGACTAACAAACGGCTACATTCACAGCCTGGAACACCACGCAGCGGTGAAAAAGAATGAGATAGACTCAGCTGGAATTTATTCATTTGACAGATATTGATTAACACTACTATCTTTTAGGCACTGTTCTTAGCACTGAACCTACAGTGATAAACAAGACAGATTGAGTCCTGCCTTAAGAACGTACATTTGGCCAGGCACGGTGGCTCACACCTGTAATCCCAGCACTTTGGGAGGCCAATATGGGAGGACTGCTTGAGGCCGGGAGTTGAAAATCAGCCTGATAAACATTGTGAGACCTCATCTCTACAAAAGAAAAATAAAAAATTAGCTGGGTGTGGTGACACACACCTGTAATCCCAGCTACTCAGGAGGCTAAGTGGGAGGATTGCTTGAACCCAGAAGTTGGAGGCTGCAGTGAGCCACGATGGTGCCACTGCATACTCCAGCCTGGGTGGTAGAGCAAGATCCTGTCTTAAAAAAAAAAACAAAAAAAGCAGACACAGAAGAAAATTTGGGAGAGTGTGACAAATGCCATGAAGAAAATAAAACTGGATAAAGGGACGGAATGATGGGGGAGGGGGCTGTTTTAGACGCTATGGTTGGGAAGGCCCCTGAAGAAGTGACATTTGGGCACAGACCAGAATGAGGGAGACTGGGAGACAGGCACGCACGAATGGGATGGACGGCTGGGGCACAGTGCCAAGGGAGAAAAGCAATCCACAAAACAGCGCAAAAAAAGAAAACATTTTTTACTTAAACGCACATTCATTACTATTAAATTAGATAAGAGTCTGGGAGGCTCTATGCCAAATTCATAAAGGTAACTGTCCCAAGAGGGCAAAGGAATAATCAGGACTAGGTTTTGTGGTGGGCTTCCGCTTGCCTCTAATACTTTAAATTTCTAATATTTAATTATTTAACATTTTAATATTTTAATGTTTAAACGGTAAATATGGCTGAATGCAGTGGCTCATGCCTGTAATATCATACTTTGGGAGGCCAAGGCGGGAGGATCACTTGAGGCCAGGAGTTGGAGACCAACCACCCCAGGCAACAGAGCAAGACCTGGTCTCTATAAAACGTTAAAAACAAAATTAGCTGGGTGTGGTGGTGCCTGTAGTCCTAGCTACTCGGGAGGCTGAGGCAGGAGGATGGCTTGAGCCCAGGAGTTTGAGGTTGCAGTGAGCTATAATCAGAACATTGCGTGCCAGCTTTGGTAACAGAGCAAAACCCCATCACAAACAAACGAACAAACACATTTTAAAAAGTAAATATACTTATATAAAACTTGTGAAATGGCTGGGCATGGTGGCTCACACCTGTAATCCCAGTGCCTCGGGAGGCCGAGGCGGACAGATCACCTGAGGCCAAGAGTTCAAGGTCAGCCTGGCCAACATGGTGAAACCCCATTTCTACTAAAACAACAACAACAAAAAGCCTTGTGAAATGAAAACAAAAAAAAAAAAAAAAAGGAAATTTAAATCTACCACGGTCAAGTGGGTGGGTTCCAGGGCGGTGAAGGCACATACTGCCTTTCACTGGAGCCAAGTTCCTGGGGGCAGAGGTTTTTTTGGGGAGGGACACTGTAGGTCATGGTAGCCCAGCCAGTAGGAGCCCAGAAGCTTCTTGGAGGAGGTACCACCTTTGCTGAGCCTGAGATTCTCTGGCCCAGCACCCCCAGTATAGACAGGAATGGGTAGACATGTGCGCAAGGTTACAGAACAAGAGCTGATAAATAGAACCTGAACTCCAGACTCATCCCGGCTGAACCCGGGTTAACTATCCCGCCTCTTTCAGCCCTGCGCGTGCATCCAGCCCCTTCCCACAGCTGTAGCTCTTGCAGGCCAGAGGGACGGCCCTGCCGCGGGGGCCGGAGAGCAGCGCCACCTGCTGCTGTAAGAGGGAAACGCAACTTCCGGCTACCAGCAGGTTACACCCTTTAAAACCCAGCTCCTCTTCCTTAAATGATCAAGCAGTACCCCTCTACTCCGAATCTGTTCTGCACCTCCTTCGCAGTGCCTGGCAGGGCCCTTAGCGCTGTCTGGTTGGGTCTTCTCTGCAAGAAGGAAAAGTTGTTTCAGGAGGGGGCGACCATCTTCACTCTCATTCCAGCCCAGCGGGCACAGGAGGAGTTTACTCACAGAAGACAGGGGCACCTCACCTTCGCTACAAACCTTAGGGGTACACAATCCATTTGACAGCCTGGAAGAAGTCCCCAGGGAAGGGACAGAACCGCCCAAGGTCACACAGTTAATGAGTAGACAAGCTGGGGGGAATGAGTAGACTCATTCCACTGGGGATGGAAGTGGGGAAGTCACCGTATTTGAAAATAACTGACGCAGTTATTAGCAGCTCTTAGCATGTGGTCCCTGAACAGCAGCATCAGCAACATCTGGGAACTTGTTAGAAAAGCAAATTATCAGGCCCTGCCCCAACTCGCCTCAATCAGAAACTCTGGGGGGCCGGGGGCAGTGGCCATGTCTGTAATCCCAGCACTTTGGGAAGCTGAGGCGGGAGAATCGCTTGTGCCCAGGAGTTTAGGACCAGCCCAGAGAACACAGCAAAACCCTGTCTCTACAAAAAAATGAGAAGGGCGCACCTGTAGTCCCAGCTACTCAGGAGGTTGACGTGGGAGGATCACTTAAGCCCCGGGAGGTCAAGGCTGCAGTGAGTCATGATCGTGCCACTGCACTCCAGCCTGGGTGACAGGGCATGACCCTGTCTCAAAAAAAAAAGAAAGTGGGGGTGGGGCCCAGCAATCTGGTATTTAGCAAACAAGCTTGAGACCCTGAACCATTGGTCTAAAGGAATTGCACACCCCCCCTTTTTTTTTTTAAATTAAATAAACTTTTATTTTGGAATGATACTAGATTTACAGAGAAGTTGCAGAGATAGTACAAAGAGTTCCTGTATACCCTTCACCCAGCCTACCCCAAGGTCAACATCTTACATCACCATGGTACATCTGTCAAAACCAAGAGACTGAAATTGGTATATTAACTAAAATTCAGACTTTTTTCAGATTTCCAATTTTCCCACTAATGTCCTGTTTTTGTTCCAAGACCCAATCCAGGATGCCACATTGCACTGAAGACACTCTCCCTTTTCAATTCTATTACTGGTCACCTCAGTCAACTTTCCCGGGGAAAGAGAATGCATGGGAAAAGCTCTTGTCCTTATTATTGAACTGGAGAAACTGAGGCTTAAAAGTGCCGAGTGACCAAGTTCCCTTAGAGGGCAGTGAGAACAAGGCCTGCCTTACTCTGTTCCCTTTCCCCAGGGACTCTTGGTTTTCAGAAGCCCCTCTGGAATGTCCTACCTGGCCTAACCCCATACCAGCAGTGCAGACAAGGAGGCACTCCTACTACAGTGGGTCCAGCCCATGGAGAGACTCACTTCCTGCCCCAACACCTCTTCCCCTAGACCCTGAGGGCCAGGACAATGTCTTAGTGCCTTCCAACTTGGCAGAGTGAGGCCCCATGAGACAGAGAGAAAGGGGGAAGAGGGAAATACCTTTATCCAAATAAATACCCATCCAAAATTATTTGTGATAGGTGAAAAATGGCCACAAGCTCTTTGTGGTTCCCCTCATCAAGACATGTAGTCTGTTTCTCATCCCTTGAATCTGGGTAAAGCCTTGTGATTTGCTCTGACCAAAAGAACTTAGCAGAAGTGACACTGTCCTAGTCCCAGTTCCAGGCCAAGAACTCAAGAAGTCTTTCAGCTTCTACTCTCACTCTCTTTGGAATCCTGAAGCCATCATGTGAATAAGCCTGAGCTAGCCTGCTGGAGAGGCCACATGGAGGAGAACCAAGCAATTCCAGCCAACAGCCTGTCACCTGCCAGGCAAGTGAGTAAGGCTATCCTAGACCATCCAGGCCCAGCTGAGGTAACAGCTGACCTTAGCTCCATGAGGGATCCCAGGTGTGAGCAGCAGAACTGCCCTGTTGAGCCCAGCCCAAATTGCCAACCCATAGGATTGTGGGAAAATACAGGGTTTGTTTCTAGCTGCCAAGTTTGGGGATGGTTTGTTACACAGCAAAAGCTAACTGGTACACAATTCTGCATTTCTCTCTTGGTAATGGGATCCCAGTTTTATTGCAGGAGGCAGTGTGCCAGTCTCAGTAGATGGAACACGATTGGTCTATTCAGCCATGACAATTCTGTTCCCTGCTGTCTTAGCTTTGTTTGCAGCTAGAGGTGCAATGGTAGCTGGCTCGGGCCAAGGGCATCTAAGTGAAGATATGCAGAGGGAGAGAGCAGGAAACAGACTTCTGACGAGGTTTTACTTTCTGATAGAAGGTGACGGGTCCAGCTAGTTTGGCCCTTCCTCTTCCTCCACCCCTCCTTCCTTGAACGCAGACATGATTCTTGGGGATACAGCAGCCATCTTGGGACCATGAAGTAACGAGCACTGAGATTAAGGCAAAAGGATCCAAGACGTGACCCCTACCTTCGTGGAGTTGTTGAACCAATACCATTAGCCACCCATCTCCAGAATCCATGCTATGTGGAAAAACAATCTTCTGTTTGTTTAAACCACTGCAATCAAGGTTTTCCTTTCCTTGCAGCTGAATGTAGTCCATATAAGAGGTTACATAGACAAAAATGCAGAGGGATCCTTGTCCTTGGGAATTTGGAGCCGGCAGCACGTGGCTCTTCAAGCCCATCTCTGTTCTCCTTCTCGGTAATGCTTCAAGGGTAAGGCCATGATCCTATTGTCACAGAGGTGGGAACTGGGGCTCCCACACTGTACAGTGAGTCCAAGGCCTTGTAGCTGGTGAGAGGGGTGCCCAGAGTCAGACCCTCTCGCCAGGTGCAAAGAGAATGCACCCCTGCTATCCCTTCTGCATGGCCCAGCCTGCTGGAGGCCAGGTGTGTCTTCTGGGCTCTTGAAGGTGGCAGCAGGTGCCAAGGAGGCTGCTACTGCAAGTCTGGTGTGGATGCTCCCAGGTACACCCTTAGGTCTGAGAGAGTGGACTGGACAAGCTTGGCGGGGATGGTCTCTCGCTGCAGTTGCTGGTAGGCCGCGTAGCGGTGGCAGCCCCCAAAGGAGTAGAAGTAGTCACCTCCCTGGGCCCCTTTGATCCAGAGGACATCGATGGGGGGCACGCTGTCTGGGTCCTCCTGGGGAGAAGAGGCACAGAGTCAATGGACATGGTACAAGGCTTGAGAGTTTGTAAAGCAGACTTTGTCCACTTGTGCTGAGCTCCTTATAAGGTGATCACACTGGACTACTGTGAGAGACAACTGTTAATTATCAGGAATTTTGTGAGCTGTTCGACATCACCTTGTAGCTTGAAAATCAGCCATGGGAGAGTATTTACACCAGAGAAATGGACAGATGCTACAAATCAGGGATTTCTCCCACACATGTATCAGCACACCACATGCACACTATCCAGCTGGCCCTGTTGTAGACCCTGGGAATACGGTACAGCTGGAATGTGACTGAATCAGGCCCTGGCTTCAAGGGGCTCCAGTCTAGTGGGGCAGATGGAACAAGAAGTAAATATTAGAGTGACAAATGCTATAATGACAATAACACAGGTGACAGGACAGAGATGGGGTCCACGAGGCCTCTCTGAGGTAAGAATGAAGCAGAGTACTTGGAAAGATAGAGAAGTGGGGCCGGGCACGGTGGCTCATGCCTGTAATCCCAGAACTTTGGGAGGCCGAGGCGGGTGGATCACCTGAGGTCAGGAGTTTGAGACCAGCCTGGCCAAAATGGCACAACCCTGTCTCTACTAAAAATACAAAAATTAGCTGGGCATGGTGGTGTATGCCTGTAATCACAGTTACTCAGGAGGCTGAGGCAGGAGAATCACTTGAACCCAGGAGGCGGAGGTTGCAGTGAGCTGAGATCGCACCATTGCACTCCAGCCTCGGCGATGGAACGAGAATCCATCTCAAAAAAAAAAAAAAAAGAGAGAAGTGGAATAGTTTCGATTAAGAGCTCAACTGCCTGGGTTCAAATCTAGCTCTGCTGCTTAACAGCTATGTGATCTTGGGCAATTCATCTTTTTGTGCCTCAGTTGCCCCATCTATCAAATTGGATGGAGATAACAGATCCATCTCATAGAATTTTTGGGTTAAATGGGTTAATATATATAAAGCACTTCAAACCATGCTTGGCACACGGAAAGTGCTCAGTAATGTATGCTGTGTATGACCTGAGGGAAGAACGTTCCATGCAAAGGGAACAGCAAACGCAAAGGACTTGAAACCAGAGCACGTTCACTGTGTAGGAGGCACAGCAAGGAGTTCACTAGAGTGGACTCCAGGGCTCCAGGAATGGTCAGAAAGGCCAGCAGGAGCCAGATGGTGCAGGTCTGCTTCTGAGAGCAGTGGGTGGGCCCTGGAGTGTTGGCAACAGGGGAGGGTGACATGATCTGATGCATGTTCTAGAAAGTTGTCACAGGAGAACAGACTTGGCAGGGTGGACAGGGCACAGGGCTGGAAGGCAGAGGGGAGGCCTCTGCAGGTATTCAGCAGAAGATGCTGGTCTGGATGATGGTGTGGTGGGGACAGGGAGAGGTAGACAGGTTTGGGACACATTTACGGGGCAGGCCCAAGGGGTCTGGCAGAAGGGGTGAATCCAAGGGCAAGAGAAAAGGGAGAATCTAAGTTGACTTCCTGTTAGGGGCCCACACAGCCAGGTGGAGAGTAGGTCATCCTCTAAACAGGGAAAGTCTGGGGCAGGACGGGTGCAGGGTAGAGCACTCTGGGGAGACCCCATTAAGTGTGAGCGGCGTGGAAGGCCTCCTGCTGCTGGTCCACGGGTTCTCTCTCATGATTCCACAAATGATTATTCAGCAGTAAGGTGCAGCAGTCACAAGCCTGAGCTCTGGAACCTGGCACACCTGACTTTGGATCTCAGCTCCTCTCCACAGCAGCTGGGGCACACAGCCCTCTGAACACCATTCCTCACCTGTAAACTGGGAATAAAACATCCTAGAGGGCTGCTGATGAAGAGTCAGTGAGCTGATGCCTACCGGGCATTAGTGGAGCACTAAGGAGGGCAGCCGTGCCAGGCAGGCCTTGTGCCGGGTACTGGAGGCACGATGGTGGATGGCCAGAATGATGGCTCCCAAAGATGTCCACGCCCGAATGCTTCTGAATGTGTTACCTTACATGGGAGAAGGGACTTGGCAGACAGAATTAAGGTAAGGATCCTGAGATGCGGAAATTATCCAAGGTTATCTAGATGGGTCGAATGCCATTATCAGGGTCCTTAAAACTGGAAGAGGAAGTAGAGGAAGAGGTCAGAGTGATGCGATGTGAGAAGGCCTTGGCCTGATGTTGCTGGCTTTGAAGACAGAGGAAGAGGCCATAAGCCAAGCAGTGTGGGTGGCGTCTGGAAGCTGGGAAAGGCGAGGAAATGGATTCTCCCCTAGAGCCTACAGAAAGTAGTGCAGCCCTGCTTGGTGTTAGCCCAGTAAGACCCATTTTGGACTTCTGACCATAAATAAACCTGTGTTGTTTTAAGCCATCAACTTTGTGGTAACTTACAGTGGCCCCAGAAAACTAATACAGGTGTATGTAAGCAAAGGCAGAGCTGGTTCTGGCCCTCAGAGCCTACGGTTCTAGCACGGAAGGCAGGTGTCTAGACAGGACGTTAAAAGCCAGTGGGCTGTAATCCCAGCACTTTGGGAGGCCGAGGTGGGCAGATCGCTTGAGGTCTGGAGTTTCAGACCAGCCTGGCCAACAGGGTGAAACCCCATCTCTACTAAAAATACAAAAATTAGCCAGGCGTGGTGGTGGGCGCCTGTAATCCCAGCTACTTGGGAGGCTGAGGCAGGAGAATGGCTTGAACCCGGGAGGCGGAGGTTGCAGTGAGCCAAGATCGTGCCACTGCACTCCAGCCAGGGTGACAGACCCAGACAACGTCTTAAAAAAAAAAAAAAAAAGCCAGTGAGATCAGAGCTATGCAGGTGGGCACACAGGTGGCTGCAGGCCCACAGAAGCTCCTAACCCGGTAGGGATGGTCAGGGAAGATCCTGACACTGAGACAGGAAGACCGAGAAAGAGTGAGAAACGACAAGGCAGAGATAGAAGAGGTTCTCAACGGGAGAAAAAGCCCAGTGGTGGGACAGGGCATGCATGGCAGATCCCTTCCCATCTCAGCCAGGCGCCGTGCTACTATTGTGGCAACAGATAAGATGGGACGAGGTCCTCGCCCTTGTGGAGTGCACGTGAGGTCAGGAAGACAGAAAATAAAATGCAACACAAATAGATGTATAATATAATTTCTGGTGGACATAAGTGGTATCCTGAAAAACATCTCGGGCTAAGGGGAGAGCTAGAGAGGCCAGTGACTCTGACCAAGGGTGATCAAGGAGGCAGAGAGCTGAACCAGGCAGGGGAGCAGGCCCTGTGGTTGTCTGGGGAAGTGGCTCCAGGCAGTGAGGACACTAGTGTAAATACTAGGACTGAAAGTTATCGGGGGTGGCTGTAGAGGTGCTGGGTGGGGCTTAGGGATCTCATGTGCTCACCTTCCAAGGGTCGGGGGAAGGGGACACAACGTTATGTAGGCCTAACCTGACACCTGTTCTTGCGGGGCCCCCAAGTTCCTGCCAGAATCACTCCGGTATTCTTAACACCCTTCCTCAGTGGTGGAGCTGACCCTTGACCTCTCCCACTTCCCATTCAGACAAGGGCCTCCCAGCAGATATGACACACCTAGTCCCACTGTCACTGACTGTCACAGCCATGAGAGCCCACGGCTTATCTCCGGGTAGTGCGGTGGCCATGTGCTGGGCAGTGGGGCCCAGGCTGCCTGGGTGTGAATTCCAGCCGTGTCACTTTTTAAGCGCCTGATCTTAGTCAAGCCGCTGAAATCTTCCCTGCCTCAGTTCTCGTCTGCAAAAGAGCCACTATCTACCTCCTAGGGTTGGCATAGGAAACTGAGGGACTTCCTGCAGTTCCTGGACCACTGCAAGCACTAGCGTTATAAGCGTTATCATCACTACTTTAATTATCTCGCCCAATTCCCTCCTTGCTCAAGTGAGGAAACAGAGGCCCAGAGAGGCCCAGCTACTTGCTCAAGGTCACACAGCAGAGGCTGAGCTCCGGCTGGGCCCGGAACCAGTCCGTCTCGCGTCCATCGCAGCGACCTCCCTCCTCCGGCAACCTCCCTCCTCCGAAGCCCTCCCTCCGGTTGGCTGGACTCCCCGAGGCCTCACCCGGATCGTGTCCACGAGGCTCTGCACCTTGGCGGGGTCCAACACGGACGGCAGCGGCCGGATGAGCACGCTCAGCGGCACGTTGTGCACCGCGGCGATGCGGCCCGAGTGGATGCTGCCGCCCTGCGCGCCGCCGCTCGGCCCGGGCCCCTCGGGCGCCCCCCGACCCGCGCCGGCCCTGCCCAGCGTTCCTCCTGCACGCAGCCCCATCGTCGCCGCCGCCGCGGGACTCGCCGCCTCCCCCCGGCCTTAACTCCGGCCGGGCCATACCATTCCGCGCGGCCGGGGGGGGGGGCCCGTGCCAGGGCAGCGCGCGTTTCTCCCCCGACCCCGCCGCGGTCCGGCCTCGACCCCGCGGTCCCCAGCCCGACTCCGGCTCCGCTCGCCAGGTGCCGCCAGACTCGCGCGGGGCTCAGGCTCTCCACCGGGGGGCGCCTCTCGCCTCCCCTGCGCCGCGCGGCGTCCGGGGAGTGGAAACGCCCGGGCGGGCTGACTCAGGGTGAGTTTGCAGGTCGCGGGGCGGGAGGGGCGCGGGTGACGCACCGGCCGGGCCGACTTAGGCCGCGGGGGCGGGGGCGGGGGAGAGCGCGGCGGACCTGCCCAGCCAGGGTGAGTCGGCAAAGCCCGCGGTGCGCTGCTGCCCCGCTGCTGGGGTTCCTAGCCAGCGAGGTTATGATCCCCACCAGCGGTTCCACTTCCAGTCTGGCGCCGGCTGTGTCTGGAGTCGTTCCGAACATTTTGCACGTGTATTAACGTATCTGAACCTCAAAACAACCCTGCAAGGAAGGTATGACTGTTATTCCCATTTTACAGAAGAGGAGACTGAGACACAGGTTTAAGTGATGTACCCAAGATCACGGAACTAGTAAGTGGCCGAATCCGCGTTCAAATCCAGACGGTCTGGCTCCAGAGTCCGCCTTCTACCCCACCGTTGGCTGCCTTGGTTCAGCAACAGTGACTGTCACACGGAGCCCTCAGGAGTCGCGCTGACAATGGGTGGGCCCTGCCTTCAAGTTCCACACTGTCTGTTTGTGTCATTACAACACTACTGGAAGTAGGTGCAGTTATAGACCCGCTGTTCAAGGTCAGCTGAAATGAAAGTCAGGTCACACGAGTCCAAACTGTGGGGCCACTTAACCACCAACTCCAAGCAGGAAGGTGGACGATCCCAGACTCGGTCGAAGACAAGCATGTCTGGTTTGCTTGTCTTCCTTCTCAACCTGAATGGCACGAACATGGAGAAATGCATACTTACCCTGCCAGCTGGAGAAAACTGGAGACGAAGGAGGGAGCCAGGAGTTTCTACTTTGCCTTCCACCAGTTGCTGACACTTTCTGAACCCCGTCTGTAAAATGAAGTCATGCTGCCCATCACTCAAAGTTGTGTGAATTGAGAGAGTGCTCATAGTGCTCTGTGAATTGCATAACATCCATTTTGCTGTTGAAGATCATTTATTTTGGGTTCTTAGTCTCTCACAAAACCTTAGAACACTGACACCAAGACTCCAGCCTTTCCCTTTCGAAACATAATTCCCGTGCGCACCTAAATGATACTTTATTTCAAGAAGTAGAACTGACACCCACACCTCAGCCCCAGAATTATTCAGAATTAGAGAATTTCATCAAGAGGGAAGTTATCCCTTCTAAAACATCTTCCTCATTACAGGAAGTAAGAATGGCAGGATAACAGTTTCTAGAGTGGAAAAGTGGAGCTCTGGCCTGATTCTATCATCATGGTGTACCCAGGGAGGCCTCATTTCCTGGTATCAAATTCTCTGTGTTAAGATATCTATGGCCCAATTCAAAATGGCTTAAGCAATAAGAAGGTTTGTTTTCTCACATAATAAAATGTTTGGAGGTAGGTATGTCCAAGGTTGGTAAAGAGGCAGTTGAACAATGTGACCAAAGACTCCAGTTCTGGCTGGGCCCGGTGGCTCACACCTGTAATCCCAGCACTTTGGAAGGCTGAGGCAGGCGAATCACTTGAGGCCAGGAGTTCGAGACCAGCCTAGCCAACATAGTGAAACCCTGTCTCTACCAAAAGTACAAAAATTAGGCAGGCATGGTGGCGCGCGCCTGTAGTCCCAGTTACTCCAGAGGCTGAGACAGGAGAATTGCTTGAAACCGAGAGGCAGAGGTTGCAGTGAGCTGAGATCATGCCGTTGCACTACAGCCTGGGTGAGAGAGTGAGACTCTCTCAGAAAAAAAAGACCCTGGTTCTGTCTATCCTTTTGTGCCATCATCCTTGGTGTTCTGTTATCCTGCGGTGTGCCCCTCATGGTCCCAAGATGGCTACTGTAGCTCAAAACATCACATCATTACATGCGAATGTCCACAAGTGGAAGTTAGGACATCCCTTCGAGCCTCTTTTTAAGAGTGAAGAAACCTTCCCTGGCTGGATGCAGTGGCTCACACCTTCTGACCTTCCACTCCTCAAGCCCCGGAGTCAACTCTAGTCACACTGGCCTCCTTGCTGTGCCTCTTCCACAGCGAATGTGTCCTGGCCTCAGACCCTTTACATTTGCTGTTCCCTGTGCATGGAACGCTCTTCCCTCAGGTCATACATAGCATACATTACTGAGTGCTCTCCATGTGCCCAGCATGGTTTGATGCGCTTTACATATATTAACTCATGGAACCTAACAGCTTTATGAGACGAGTCTGTTATCTCCATCCCCATTTGATAGATGGGGCATCCCTGTGGGAGCTCTGCCCATTCCAGAGGTGCCAGGCCATTCACTAATGGGGGCAGGAGCCGGTGAGTAAATGCCAGTCTTGTGCTGTCACAGGTGGACGATTCAGAGAGGTGTTCTAGACCATTCAGATCTTTCTGGAACCTTCTCAGAGACCAGAAGTACTCAGCCCTATTGCTACAACTGACTTCACTAACACACCCTCTGTCCCATTCCTCCCACCCCTTACTTCTGCTTCCAGGGATCACCTCCCACATAAACGACTTACACTCAAGTCTCAGACTTGCTATCAGGGAACCAAAACTAAAACAAAAGGGAAACTTGATACTGGGTCATCCCCTATAGTTCTGTACCTTGCCTGGGTTAAAATTGCACTATTTTATTAGATGTGTGACCTTGGGCCAGTCACCTGTCTGTGCCTGTTTCCTAATCTGTAAAACGGACATAATGTCACCTAATTCACAGGGGTGTTGGAAGAGTGAAGAGAGATGGTGTTAGGTGAGGTCCTTAAAACAGTGCACAACGCATTATAAGTGCTCAATAAATGTTTGCTGTTTGATTGCATTTTAAATTGTAACAGAGCTTGAACGTCTCTCCGTGTCTTCACTTTCAGACTAGGCTTGATGTATTAGTCAAGACTTTTGTTTGCAAGTGACAGAAAGCCAAAGTGAATTAGCTTAATGAAAATGGGGATGCTTGGCTATTCCCGTGACTGAGGTGAAGCGGAGCCTCAGGGGAAAGTAAGTTGAGAGATTTCTTTTCTCTGCCCTCACTCAGCAGAGGGATTATCTCTACATGTCAGGAACATGACTGTCAACAGCGATGATATTTGGCTTTAAATAAGGGAAACCTGACAACAGAGACTTCATACAACTTAAAGTGTTTCCTCTTTAAAAAAAAAAACAGTCGAGGTAGGAAGTCCATGGCTGGGATGGCTGCTCCATGGTCACTAGTGGCATAGGCCCTTTCTATCTTGCCGCTCCATCATTTTCCAGCAGAGTTTTCATTCTCAGGGTCACCTCCTATTCAGGATTGCTGCTGAAGTGCCAGCCGTCTCATCCAAATTCCACCCTGGAAAGAGGTGGAGAAATGGAAAGGCAAAGGATATGACCCCTCCCCTTTTGAGGATGCTATCTCAGAAGTTTTGTATAACACTTCCCCTTGCATGTCATTGACTAGAAATTGGTCACACGGCCACCCCTGGCTGCAAGGGCAGCTGGATATGTTGTCTTCATCCGTAGCGGTAATGTGCTGAGCTAAAACTGGAGTTCTCTTACTAAGGAAGAATAGAGATTGATAAGTAGCTAGCAATCGGGGCCACAGCTCTCAAGTTACAGGCCTTATGGCACAGAGACAGGGAGAGAGAGAAAATTTCCAAGTTCTAGTCAGATGCCTACATATGGACAAGCCAGCTATGGCATTGGGGGACACAGACTTTCTTAAAAGCATAAGCCACCATTATTTATTATAATGACTTAAAGGTAAGGAGTTCATTTAAAGATAATTACTGGTCACCTGCTATTGGCTAGGCTAGACCCAGGGGATTTAGTGATCAGCAAAAAGACACTACCAATCTCTGCATTATGAGGCTTACAGTGTAGTGGAGGATTCAGATAATGACCAAATAATCACACTGGTTAATGGAAAGTATACATTGGTAGTGGGTGCTGCAAAAGAATGGCATGTGGTTCTGAGGAAGTGTTTTAGTCCTTTTTGGCTGCCATAGCAATACCATAGACTGGGTGGTTTATAAACAACAGAACTTTGTCTCTTACAGTTTTAGGGGCTGAGAAATCCAAGATCAAGGTGACTTTGTATCTCCCCAACATTCATATGTTGAAATCCCAACCTCCAGGTGATGGTGTTGGGAGGTGGGCCTTTGGGAAGTGATTATGTCACGGGGTTCATGGGGGTAGAGCCCTCATGAATGAGATTAGTGTCCTTTTTCTTTCTTTTGAGACAGGGTCTCACTTTGTCACCCAGGCTGGAGTGCAGTAGAACTGTAAAGAAAACTTCTAATTTTTAAAATCAGGAACCTGATAATAACTAAGGAATCCTGAACAGAGTGTTGGTAGAAATACAGATGAAAAAGGCCATTTGGATGAGGAAATGAGGAAGATATTATTGGACAATGGAAAAAAGGCCATGTTGTTATAAAATGGCAAAGAACTTGGCTGAATTATGTCCACGTTCTAGTGTTTTATAGGAGGTAGAACTTGTGAGCAATGAAACGGAATATTTAGCTAAAGCTATTTCTAAGCAAAGTGTTGAAGCTGTGGCTTGGCTCCTCCTGACTGCTTATAGTAAAATAGAAGCAGAAAGAAATGAGTTAAAGATGTGACTTTTAAGCGAATAGGAAGCAAAACGTAAAGATTTGAAAAATTTTCAGCCTATCCATATTGCAAAGAATGAGAAAGAATGTTTGGGAGAAAACACCATAGTCTCCATAAGGAGACTGTAATGGTGATGAACGTAATCAGCCATCCCAGCAGGAAAACTGCCGTCTTGAATTGAAGGGGAAGGAGATGGGAAGGGATGAGGAAGGAAAGCTGTCTGACTTCTTGGATTTTTCAGGACAAGACCAGAGTGCAAACTCTTCAAGACAAGGGAAGAATGACCCTGAAGGCAATTCAGAGATCATCAAGGCTATCTCCTTGCTTTCAAAAGTCGGGAGCATTGCCTTGCATTCAGCAGGTTAGAGGGCCTCTGTCCAAAGCCATGGAGGAAGAGCTGCCCAGAGCTGTTGGTGTGGGGCTACCCAGAGCCCTGGGAACATGACTTCTGCGGGATAGAGCTGGAGGGACAGGACCACCACCCCAGAGGGTACAGAGGGTGGGACCACCACCATTGTGGATCTGGAAGGCTGCCTCAGTGGGCCTGGAAGCAGAGCATTTAATGAACTAAAAATGATTTTTCTTGAGCCTTAAGATCTCATGGAGTTTGCCTTGTAGTTTGGATGTAATTTGGATCTGCTATTCCTTTCTTCTTTCCTATTTCTCCCTTTTGGAATGGTCTATCCTATGCCTGTCTCACCATTGTATTTTGGAAGCAGATAACTTGCTTGATTTCACAGGCTCACCGCTGGAGAACAATTTGCCCCAGGATGCATCACACCTTGAGTCTCAGCCATATCTGACTTAGATGACACTTAGATAATAAAACTTTGGATTTTAGACTTCAGAGTTAATGCTGGAATGAGTTAAGGCTTTTGGGGCTGTTGGAATGTAAGGAATGAATGTATTTTGCATGTGAGAAGGATGTGAATTTGGCGGGGGATGGGGACGGAGGCAGAATGCTATAGACTGAATGTTTGTGTTCCTCCAAAATTCATGTTAAAATCCTAACCCCCAGTATGATGGTATTAGGAGGTGGGCTTTTGGGAGGCACGTTAAGGCCAGTTCATTTCATGGTCACAAGATGACATGCTTTTCTGTTCACACTGGAGGGGAAGAGGAACTGGACTTCCTTTCCTCTTAAGAAAAAGGAAGCAGCAAAGTTTTCCATACCCTTCCAGCAACCCTCTCCTTAAGTCTCATTGGCCAGAATTGGGTCATGTGCCCATTTCTGAACGATGGGAGATGTTAGTATTAGACCAGTAAAGACTACCTCTTAAGCTGATGTTCAGTCCCCAGATTGCGTGGTTGCTAATCCAGGAGAGAGGGGTGGGGTGGAATGGTTATTGGACCCACATAACTGGGCTGGATATGGCTGATGGAGACCCAGCATTCTTTCCCACCTCCCTCTAGGGTGCCTTCTAGATTGCCTAGTTGGAGAGTTAAAAACTCTATTTCTCAGATCTCTTTGCAGCAAAGATACTAACAGGGAATTAAGTTCTACCAGTTAGATGTACTTTCATGAGACATGGATGGCAGAGGTGGGCCGGGGCCATCTTCCATCTTTTGACTCTTGCTACTGTCAAGATTGTCTTGGAGGTGTTAAGATTTTCTGTAGCAGTGTTCCAGCATTGTGCCACCAGCACAGTGGGAGACAGGAGATAGTTATAGAGGCAGTGGCAAGGGCCTGCTGATCCCTGGCTTGCACCTATGATGCGGTGTTCTGTATCTCAATAGTTCCAGGGCACCTTATTGACCACCACCAACCCCCACTCCGCACCCTCTCCCACCACTGACTGTGGAAGAGGCAGGTGCTGTCTCAGTGGCAGCAGTTCTGCAGTGGGGTTCTGGGGTCCAGCAGATGGCTCACTTCAGCCCTTACACAAATTTTGTCAGCAGCCAATTATTGAAGTATTAAATCCTTTCTCCTTCAAAGGAATTTAATACTTGTTTATAAAATCCTGTCTAGAGTGGTTTCTGTTCCTGGCACCTAAAACAAACATAATGGATCCAACAGCCAGTCACGGGCAGTGTATGTGGGTGGTTAAGGGATGCAGCAGATGCCTGGGTTTCTCAAAACCCCACTGGCGAGGCGGGCAGATCACTTGAGGCAAGGAGTTCGAGACCAGCCTGGCCAACATGGCAAAAACCTGTCTCTACTAAAAATACAAAAATTGGCTGGACGCGGGGGCTCACGCCTGTAATCCCAGAACTTGGAGAGGCCGAGGCGCGCGGATCACAAGGTCAAGAGATCGAGACAATCCTGGCCAACATGGTGAAACCCTGTCTCTACCAAAAATAGAAAAATTAGCTGGGCATGGTGGCACATGCCTGTAGTCCCAGCTACTTGGGAGGCTGAGGCAGGAGAATTGCCTGAACCCAGGAGGCGGAGGTTGCAGTGAGCCAAGCTCACACCACTGCAGCCTGGCAAGGCAGCGAGACTCCATCTCAAAAAAAAAAAAAAAAAACCAAAAACAAATTAGCCGGGCGTGGTGGCACATGCCTGTAATTCCAGCTACTTGGGAGGCTGAGGCAGGAGAACTGCTTGAACCCAGAAGGCAGAAGTTGCAGTGAGCTGAGATTGCGTCACTGCACTCCAGCCTGGGTGACACAGCAAGACTCTGTCTCAAAAAAAAAAACAACAAGAAACCACTGGAGATTTTGCAGAGTTGTGGGGAGGTTCCCACAACTGCTGCTGTCAAAAACAGCTAGCACATTGCTCAGGATGCAGCTGCTTGTCCAGAGGGGTGTGAAGGGAAGGCGGACAGGCACCAGGGAGGCAGTCTACAAACTGAGTGCACTGCTTACACAGGAGGAAACTGACAAAGAGGCCCCAGAGGAGGCAGATTCTAGCCTGCAGCTTCCCCATCCCTCAAAGCATGCAGGTTATGCTTCTTGGTAAGTCTGAGTTGAGGGTAGGTGGCAGGGGTTGGTGGTCCCCAGTGAAGTTTTTAGTAAGGTGAGACAGATTTGTATCTTGAAGGATCACTAAGGCAGCTATCGAGGATGATGGATTGGTTGCCTTGAACACTTTTGGTGACAGGCAGCTCAGAAGCTCTAGGGGCAAGTCACTGTTTTTGGACAACTTTCCAGCTGAGCCAAAGTCAACCTTTTTGCCTGCTTCCACTCACTGAATATGTGACCATATATGACTAGGCAGAGCAGTAGGGGGTGAACTGGGGAAGATTATAGGGGTTGTAAACTGGCTGTCAACAGACACATGTGGACCACAGTTTTAACTGTTTGGTGGGTGTAGTTAATTTGAATCCTATTTCTCTAAGGTGAGACACTCTTTCCAATTAGTCACAGGCTTCACCTTCCCTAATGTCTTAAGGCAACTGGCTTCACTCACATGTTATTAATCTGGTTTTTAAACCCTTATTTGAGGAGTATTAAGGATTGAGGATGCCTGAGAACTTGTAAATGCCAAGGGACCCTTGGGGCTGTGTGACCCTTGGTGGCAGCTACAGGCTGGTCAGGCTACAGAGAGGAAAATGGAGTGGAAAAGTAGTATCTCTCAGATGCCCTCCCCTTCGTCTCATTCCCCCCCTTCATCCCCACCCCTTGCTCCAATCAGAAGGTCTAGAGGCGATGGTGAGTGGCCAAAGTCCCTTTAATATCCCTGAATTGCGTTACAAGTAATACTGCTGGAGGTGGGGAAGGGATGGGGGTTTGGGGGTGAGTTGGGATAGGACGGAGGAGGAGCGCCAAGCGCTCATACAAAATATGGCCAAAAGGCTTAGCATGCATGGAAAATTATTGCTGTCAGAAGTTGCTATTTACAGGGTCAACGCCTCCATAATTGCTTCTGCTACCCCTCTCCCTCCCACCATCCCTGCAGCCTCCCTTCCCGCTGGGCCTGGAGCTGAGCAAAGGCCCATTCACCCCTCTGGAGCCCTAGGGAAGTGCCCCTGCTGCAGGGGTGCCTCCAGTCTCCCCCCTCTTTTGTGGCTAAGAGGAGGGGAGAGGAGGATCTGAGAGTCCAGGACTCCTGCCCCCAAGCTGGCTGCAGAGCAATGGGGCAGAGGCGTGTGCTTAAAGCGGAGGGGGCCAGGGCCCGTGCGCGTGGAGGTGTGTGCTTCGGTCCTCGCCCGGGCATGCAAAAGCGCAGCGGAGGAGGTAGTGGCGGCCAACGGGCGGGTGGCTGGCAGCCCGGCCCCTCTGTCCGGGAGAGTTGCATAGACATGGCCGGGAGAGAGCGCCCCTCCCGGGGAGCAGGCCAGAGGCCCCAGCGGGTCCGGGGCTCAGTCGGTCCCTGGAACCTGGGGTCCCTCGGGAAGAAGAATAAACAGGAAACAAATCGAAGAGGCTCCTCTCTCCGGGCCGCCTGGAGTGGCAGGGGAAGGTTCAGGAAGGTGGGGACCTGCCCCACGCCTGGACCTCCTGATGCTCCCTCACCCCCCCAGTTGAGGGTCAGCAAGCTGCCCCCCCATTCTCGAGTCCCCTTCCTTAGCGAGTGCAGGCTCTGAAGAGGGTGGGTTTCTCCCGAGACGCGGGGGTGTGTGTGGTGGGGGCAGCCCTCTGTGGCCTGTGCTGTCCCTCTCCTTGCCTGGCTTCCTGACCTCCCAGTCCAGCTGGGGAAGCCAGACGGTCCCTGGGTGAGGCCAAGAGATTAAATAGAATAATAAATAGATAAATAAATAAATACACAAATAAATAACTGGAAGGACCCAGCCGGATGGGGGAAGGGCATTGGCGAGGTGCTCCAGACCTCCCCCCAACAAGTAAGGAAGGGGATCTGTGGCCCTGGGGATGGGGGAAAGTGCTCAGAGAATCTGGGGGTAGGGCAGCTCCAGACTGTGGAAGCCCAGGTTGTGCCGGGGTGAGAGAGGGGTTACATTAGGGGGCAGGGCCCTGAAGTGCCCCTCAAGCCCCCTCCAGGTTAGGTAGACTCAGAGGGGTGAGAGCTGCTAGAGAGGTGAGGGCAGCTGGAGCTGGGGCTGGGAGTGGGTGATGAGATCCCCATGGACTGAAGACAGTAGGAACTGTGTGTGGGAGTGGGGTGTGGGGGTGTGTGTGTGTGTGAATGGCCAGACCTAAGGCCTGAGCATGGATGGGATCAGGGACAGATCGGAGACTTCAAGAAGGGTGAAGATTAGATCCCCAGATGGACACACTCTGGGAGATTCAGCAGAGGCCAGAGGGATGGTCTGGGGTTGGACTGTGGTCTCAGGGCGGCAGGGCCTGCGTCCAGGTGTGGATGGGGAAACTGAGGCAGGTATGGGCGTCAAGGGTATAGGTTTGCGGCTTTCATTGGGGGCTCCAGTAGAGGAATGGTCAGAGAGATTCAGCTGAGAAGCGAGAGAAAAGATCTAGAAGTTAGAAGAGCAGCGCGGGGTCTGGGAGGGAGAAATTTCCGGCTCTGGGGCGCGGGAGAGGTGCGGACCTGGTGCCTGAGTTGGGAGCCTTGAAGGCGCGGACAGGGGGGTCAAGGTCCGAGGGATGGCCGGAAAGGATGAAGTGGGTCGGGGGACGCTGGGGAAGACGGTGTGGAAGTGAGTCGTGGGTTTGGGGGTTGGGGAGAAAAGTTCCGGGCCGGGCCGGGGGTCCCCACGAGAGGGTCATGGGCAGGGAAACGCAGCCGGGGCTGGGCGAGGGCGCTGCGGGCGCAGGTAGGGGGCCCGGGGCGCGTGGAGAGCGAGTTCCGGGCGCGAGGGCGAGGCGGAAGGCTCAGCTGGCCGGGCCGGCGGGGGTCGGCGGGGGTGGCTCGGCCGCCTTGGCGCAGGCCGCCTCGCAGTGCTTGTGGAGGTAGGACTTGAGCGCGAAGCTCTTGTCGCACTGGCGGCAGCGGTAGTGCTTGAAGGCCGAGTGCGTCTGCATGTGCGCGCGCAGGTTGGAGCGGTCGGCGAAGGCCTTGCCGCAGTGCGCGCAGCCGAACGGCTTTTCGCCGGTGTGCGAGCGCATGTGACCCTGCAGCAGCCAGGGCCGCGAGAAGGCCTTGCCGCAGACGCCGCACTTGTGGCGCAGGTTGTGCGTGAGCAGGTGCATGGCGAGCGCGGGCATGGACACGTAGGCCTTGCCGCACGTCGGGCATTTGCGCGCCAGCTGGCTGTCCAGGCTGCGGTGCGTCTGCTTGTGGCGGCTCAGGTTCGACGACGTGGCGTAGGTCTTGCCGCACTCGGCGCACGCGTGCCGGTGCCCGCCGCCCGCCTGCGCCCCCGCGCGCCCCGCGCGCCCCCCGGCGCCCCCCGCGTCTCCCGAGCCCCCCGCGTCCCCGCCGCCCCCGCCCCGCCGCCGCCGCGAGCGCCCGTCCGAGATGAAGAAGGCGTCCATGGAGTAGCTGTCGGTCACTGCCGCCTCCCCTCGGAAGTAGCGCGCCGACAGGCTCGACTGCGGGCTTTCGGGGTCGCTGTACTCCTCCGGCGCCGCCGGCGGGTACGCGGGCTCGGCCGGGGCCAGCTCCAGGCCCGGCTTCTGGTCCGCATCGTAGCTGCTCGGGGGCAGGCGGTGCGGGGCGTACCCTGGAGGGGGCGAGAAGTGGAGGGGCGGTGAGAGGAGGCGCCGAAGAGGGTTTCCCGCTTTGAGCGCGTCACCCTTTGCGCCTTCCAGCTTGGCGCCCCTGTGGCAGCTCCGACAGTGGTGGTCTCCGACCTGCACCTCAGCTCTTCCTGTCAGGCAGCCTGGGTTCAATTCCTTCCTCCATCGACGGCAGTGCAAATAGCCGCCACCCCAACCCACGGAGCATGGGGCCAGCACGGTTGTACAGAGCGTACCTTCACTATCCAGTGCTCACAACCGCGGAGTGATGGTCTTATAATACCCACGCTACAGGTAGAGAAACTGAGGCGCAGAGAGATGCAGCAGTCTAACCTTACAGTCAGGAAGTGATGGAGCCCTTGCCAGTGTGACCCTGAAGCCCATGCTGTCTCTATTCCAACAACATGCTGCCGTTGCAGCCCTGTAACTTCTCTGGATCTCAGTTTTCTCATCTGCAAAATGGAGCTTGTGATTGGACACCTCCTTCCAGGGTCGTTGGAAGGACTGAGTAAAGTGACGATAATAAGCGTGTGTTAAGCTCTTACTGTTTGCCAGACTCTGCCTCGGTGCTTTACGCATGTTAACTCTAATCGTCACAGACCCAAGGAAGTCGGCACTATTGTAATCCCCATTTGATGTGTAAGGAAATGAACAAAGGTGGGGGAGCATACAGTAATTGCTATATAAATGTTAGCTATTATAATTATGCTTTTTACTTGCTTGGAGATAGTTTCCTCCCCCACCACACTGTGAGCTCCCCATGGTTGGATCTGTGTGCCCAGCACATGCCTGGCTCAAAGTAGGTGTGCGATGAATAGATGTTGCATGAAGGAATCACAATCCAGTTAGACCCACCTGCCAGGGTTGCTGAAGCATTTAACAGGGGTCAAGTGTGTGGCATGTAATAGGTGCTACAGAAAGGGGACTTCCTCGCACCTGCTCCCAAGCCTGCTCTAGAAGTCGTCGGAAGTCCGCAGTGAGAATTCCCCTCCCCCTCCTCCTCCCACTTAGCTGGAGTTGGACCAGGAATCCTGTCTGCCAAGGGTTTGAGTGATTGGTGGGTGGGCAGGCTGGGGTCTCCCTGGGGATTCCGTAGGGGATTCTCATGGGCAGGGGCCATTCTGATTTGCCTCTGCCTCCCATGGCCTAGGCTGGTCCTAGCACCTTCCCTGAGACCCTGGGGGCTGGGCTCCCTGGAGAGTTTCTGGCAGACAAACTTTTCATCCTGGCACTTGATGGGCAAGTGATTCCATTGTTCTGTGATTCCACAGAACAATGAAGGTTAGGTCCGTTTGGGAGGTTTCCCACCTGGGGAGTGGGATTTGACCTTCTCCTGGTGACCCCTGAGACCTGTAACCACTCCTCCTTCCCTCCTCCCCTAGCCTCCTTCACTGAAGTGAGCAGGTGGAGGAGGGTTTTGTAAGGGGAAACAGGGTTCAAGATGTTCAGACTTTTAGCTGGGTACTCTGGTCAGCTTTCGTTTCCCACACAGCCTGGCTGATTCAGCCTCCAGGCCTTTGCCTCTCATCTGGAGTTTGGGATGGACACAGGGTGAAGTCTGTGTGCCCCTGAAGGCAAGGGTGTGCCCTTATTTTTACCTCTGTCCCTTCAGCAGCCAGCACAGGGCCCTCTGCACACAGAAGTCATTGTGGATTATGGAAGTGGATGACTCGGAAGCGGGGGGCTCTGTGGTTGGATGTAAAGGGGGATAGTGATAGTGGCAATTTTTTAATCTGGGGAGAGGAGATGCCCAGCCTCTCCGCACCCTATGTCTCCCGTCCCATCTGCCTGTGGTCTGGAGGTCCCCCTGCTTCCCACTCCGGGAACCAGGCCTGGTACTCAGGTCCCAGAACATTCAGGAGTGTTGTTTCAGACTGAGTTAAATACCCGTCAGGCACTCCCAGACCCCCCTCCTTCTCCTTCTGTATTTCCTCACGTTGTAATTCCTGGTGATGATAATAATAGCTAATATTCACTGAGCACTTACTGTGTGCACCAGGCTCTGTGCTAAGTGCTTCGCTCCCATCATCTCACTGAATCATCACAAAACTACTCTCATCACAGATAAGGAAACTGAGGGACAGTGTGGTGATGGCACTTGCTCCAGGGGTGGAGCAAGGATTGGAATCCACTGCCCCCTTGGTTTCCCACATACTGGGAGGTCCTCCAGGAGGGGGCTGTGGCTGAGCTGTTCACCTCCCATTCCCAGGGCCCTAGCTAGTGGGCACTTAATAAGTATTTGTGGAATGAGTGATGATGATTTGCGAGGCCAGCCTCACTCCCCAGCCTAGCAGGACCTGGTATAGACAGTCCTGTTCACCTGGTCTCAGGGCAGGTCTGCATCTCATGTGTCTGGGGCCATGGAAGGGGAAGGGTGGTTTGGTTCTCCAACACAGATTCCAGCTGAGTGCCTTTGGGTGGGTTGTGCTTCAGGTCCTTTTTTTTTAAAATGGGATTTATCTGGAGGGGTGACTGATCACGTAACCAGTGCTTTGAGTTCTATTATTAAAGGATGACATATTGGATAAGAGTAAAACTTTGGTGCCAGACGGCCTGGATTGTTTTGGCTCTACCATTCCCAGCAGTGTGACCTTGGCCAAACGATTTGGCCTCTGTGTGACTCTACCGTTTCAGTAAGGGGTCTGCCAGTAAACAGTATATAAACAAATGATAACCAGCACTCTCAGAGCACTCCTGTGTCAGGCACTCTTACAAGGGCTTTCCACACATGAAAGCATTCTACCCCCATGACACACAAGGTGGTAGGTACCCTTTTATAGAAGAGGAAACCAAGGCACAAGGAAGCTAAGTAACAAGCCTAAGATTGTGCAGCTGATAAGTTAGAGCCAGGATTCCAGCTCAGTGGCTGGCACATTTTAAATCCACCACGCATGTTGGCTGTTATTATGAACAATAATAACAATCTCCCCAGATGGGTTTCTGTGCTGCAGCTTTCTTGGCATCTGCCCCAACACATCGTGCTGCTCCTCTCTGGGCCTCTGTTTCCTCACCCGGGATGTGTAATTTCTATTTCACGTTCTGATGGGAAAATATCTGGTGCATAGTAGGAGCTCCATCAGTGAACCAGAGCGTTCTCCATGAGGTGCTCTGCCCATGGCGCCCTCTGCTGGTGGCCCTCAGCGCTGTTGACTTTCCTCCTGTTGCAAGGGGCTCTTTATGAAGAAATAGGGGTGCCTTCAACAAAGGCTGCTCATTTGCCTAGGGAGGGCTGCAGAAGTGTCTTCAGGATAGGAATTGTGAGCCCAGACCAGACACCCAGTCAGTGGATTTTGGCATGGGTTGAGAGCATCCTGTGAGAGTTTGTGTGGTCATGTTAGGAGGAGGTGGTTCTAACTTGCTTTGTGACTGTGGCCAGGTTGCTTAACCTTTCTGGGCGGAATCTATACATGACAAAGATGGACTGGAATGGTCTAAAGACCCTTTCTGCATCATGGCTGAATCAGTCCCTCCATGATGCTCTTTGTCCCCTCCACTCCCAGCTCCTCCAATTCCACCCCGTTTTCCTCAGATTCACAGACATCTCCCTAGGCAACCTTGGGCAAGTTACTTAACATCTTTCTGCCACACCTGTATAAGGGAGTTCATAATAAGGCTGAATAAATGAATGCATGTAAAGTGCTTAGGACAATGCCTGACACATAATAGCTGCCCTCTTGAGCTGTTATTATTGTTACTGGTAGTATTCCTGTGTTTCCTGGTGATATATCCTTCTAATCTGCCAGAGAGTAGGAGATACACATGGGTGTCTTAGGCTGCTGTGTGACCTTGAGCAAACCACCTCACCTCTCTGAGCCTCAACCCTGGAGACTCCTTTAGGACACTAAAAGCCATACTTTAACCTAATGCATGGAACCCAGACAGGTACCTTCCTCTGCCCTAAGAGTGACTATAGAAGGCTGAGATACCTATCCTGCAACTGACAGGGTGAGACAGGACTCTTGTTTGGGTTCCCACAGAGATAGGGATGAGCTGGGATTCAGAGAAAAGAGAATCTCAGGTGAGATCTCTCATCCTAGCCCTTGAATTCAGGCCGTAGCCATGTGACCTTGGGTAAGTCGCATAACTTATCTGGGCTCAAATCCTCCATTTGAGGAATGTGGACCAGAGGCACCCCTGTCATGTAGGGATATGGGGAGGGCCCAGAAATACTTTGGAGATGTGCACATGTCACCTGGAAATGACTTTGGTTTTCCCTGCCCAAGAGTCTTGATATTTTAGACTGAAGGTCCAGAATCTGTCTTTTTAAAAATCGGTACTCAAAGGAGTGGTGAAAGGGAAATTTATGAGAACTAAGGTGCTGGGCCCTCTGCAGACACTGTCTCATTTAGCTGCCTGACCCCCTGCGGGGATGGAGGGGGATGTGTAACAAATACTGCTACTGCTACTGCTGGTGCTTCCAACTAGCACCAGCCTCCCTGTGAGCCAGACATTGCCCTGTGCCCAGAGGCCCAGAGAGGGGAGAGGATTTGCCCAAGGTCACTGAGAGGGAGGCGGCAGGTTTGAAACCCTCCAAGGCCTGTGTTTTTTCCAAAACACCAGAGAGGGCATGGAGACTTGCTGGGGAAGAGATCTTCAATTGGTAGGGGAAGGGGTGGTGCGTTTCCTCAAACACTCCCTAGTTAGCCTGTGGTGGGGTGGGTGGGGGCACGGGGTGGTGGGGGCATGGAGAAGCTGTTGTGGAAAATGCTTCAGCCTCTTGTAAGTATTTGTAAATCATACTTAATAACAGTAATGCCTATCACTTACTGAGCACTTACTTGGTGCAAGGCATCCTGCTAAATGCTTTGTGCACATTAGCTCATGTCTAAGGTCACTTCCCTCCATGCCCTTGTTCTGCAGAAGCTGAAGCCCAGACAAAGGCCTTGACCCACCTCAGGTCACAAAACAAGTTCTCATCAGAGCTGGGTTGGCCTCCTTTTCTTTCCTTTTTTTCAGTCCAGGACTCCTTTCCCCAGTCTCTCCCAGACTCCCAAGGTGCCAAACTTTCTCCAGGGAATTCCTAGCCTCAGCCTCACCTCTCTGTCCTAAAATGGGCAGAAAAAGACAGGGGCCTGGTGGGGGGCCAGCTTCCCCGGCGGCCCACTTTCCTGAGGAGGGCTGGGCCCTGCTGGGTGGTAGGGGCTGGAGGAGCTGCTGTATGGGTATATTTAGAGCTGCTTCTTGCTGTGCCAGGGCCTCGGGCCTCGAGAATCAGCTCCAGCCAGCTGAGCAGAAAGCCAGGTCTGTCAGCAGCAAAGCGGGATAAAAATAGTTTCTCCTGTCTGCTCACAGAGCTGGGCAAAGGGGCTGGGTACCTCCCCCTCCCCTTATTATAGCATCTTTGTTAGCGGTTCCCTGGGCACTGGACCAGAAATGACACCCACCTCCTCCAAAGGCCTGGCAGCTGGTACATCTGCCCACGGGGAGGAGGTCCCTGTGCCCAAATGAGCAGGGGACAGAGTGAGGTCTGGCCCAACATGACCAACGCTGCATGGCTTGGGGCTGATGCCCACTGACCCAGGCCCAAGGAACTTTGAGAGAATTTCAAGGCTTTTCCCCACCACCCCCATCTCTTGGAATTCCCCACATTCTGGTCTTTCCTGACTGTGACCCAATTCCTGTGGCCTACAGGGAGGTCCAGAGCTCTGCAGGAATCAATAGGAAAGATTTTTCAGGGGGGTATGGAGATGAGAGTGAGTGGCTCAGGGTCTTCATTTGCCCAGCCTGGGTTCGTAGAGTTGCCTCCTGCTCCCTCGGGGGGGATCTCCAGTGGGCCCTTTCTGGGCCTCGTTCCGGAGACTGGGTGTGTTGTGCAGTGCTCCACCTCTTCCCCCGGCCTCCTACTTTCTGCTCTGCCGCCTCTCTCTCTAGAAGGGTGCACTCAGAGGGCCCATTCCAAACCCCTCCCTATCCAAAGGCTGGCCTGGCAGTAGACGCTTCACTTCAGGGGAGTCCACAGCTGGGAAAGAGACCAAGAGGCCCGAGGGACCCCATCTCTCCCGGCAGAGGGCCTCCAGGCTGTGGGGGCCCCTAAAACCTGTGGATGTAGCACCCACTAGGGAGGTGTGACAGGGTGCACCGTTTATGCTCTTGTGACTTTGGGCAAGTCACGGCCTCTCTGTGACCTCAGTTTTGCCTCTGTAGGTTGGAGTGAATCCTCCCCTGCCCCCCGCTGCCCTTTGCCCACTGTGGATTTGTGTGGCCAGAGAGTGCCTTTGGGATGTGTAGATTGCTGTACTGACATAAGGGACTTGGTGTACTCTCTGGCCCTCCTTCAGCAATCAAAGACTGAGACTATCTAAAGTGTGGAAGCTCAGCTCAGGACCCTCACGTCCCTCTCGTAACCCCAGGCTTTAGAGGAAATCAGGGGTTCCCAGATTCCATATCTCACATGGGCCTCATCATTCCACACTTCCACTGAGCCCTGTTAATTCACAGGAATATTAGATTTCTGGGTCCCTAGAAGGTCAAAGCTGAAAGAGATCATATTCAACCGTTTGATATTATGAAAGGAAAACAGAGGCTGGGAGGAGAGGGGAGACTAGGCCAAGGCCACACAGAAGGCTAATGGTGAGTCTAAGACTTGAACTCAGCCCAGCCTTGAGAGCGGATCTGGACAATGACCTTGGACTGGAAACTGGGCCTGAATCTTGATTCTGGACCCAGCACTTTGCCCTGGACCTGTTCATAGGTATTGAAATTTGAAATTGGACATGGATTTGTCCTGGATAGCAGACCTGGACCTATAACCTCAGACACTGACCTTGGACCTAGTCCTTGGACCTGGTCCTATACCTGAAGTTTGACGTAGGCATTGGACTTGGACCTCAGATCTGTACTTGGATGTTGGACTGAATGTTGGACCTTGACCTAGACTTTGAACCTGGGCCTCTGACATGTCTTTAACCTGGACCTTGGACCTGGACCAAGGCCAAGTTACCAGGGAAAGGGGTGGTTAGAGAAGACTCAGATGGGTCTGCTGTGTGTCCATGGGCACCTCCCCAGCCTTCTCTGTGCTTGCTCTTCCAAAAGACTGGGGAAGCCCTTTTGCATTGCTGCTCCCCAGAGGAGCTTTCTGAGGTGTGGAATGGATGTGTGGCAGCTGGGGACATTGGGCCGGGCTCCCGGGCTTGGCCTGGAGCGACTACCCGGCACCATCAGAGGGAGTGAGAGGAAGTGGGCGCTGGTTTAATGTGGTCAGCTAGATAAGCCCATGGGTAGAAGTAGGAGAGTTTCCTCAGCTTGCTGGGGGAGGCTTAATGTAGCTGCAGAGGGCAGACAACTGTGTTATTGGATTGGCATTGATCCCTCATCTGCCTGGGTTGGATGCACTCTGAGAGGGCAGGAGGGCAGGACAGGGCGGGGATGCAGAGGAAGGGGGGCCTGGCTCCAAGCTGGGGTTCGGAGTTAAGGTGGAGGGGAGGCAGACACTCCAGAAGATATTCTTGGCAGGGGCCCACAGAGACCACTGACATGCATGTGGGTGGGCCACCTTCTTTGGGGTGGCTGAGAGTCCCAGTATCCTTCAGATGGGGGCCCCGGTCTGTGGGGAGGGCCTGGTGGAGTTGGAGGGTGAGGTTAGCAGAGGGTTAGGATGATGTAAGTTGGCATCTCCCAGAAAGACTGAGTCTGTGCTCAGAATCACCCAGGGGAGAAGAGGGGAAGGGAAAGCAGTGGAGGAGCAAGAGAGGCATCTTACTTGAGGGGACAATGAAATTAGATCTATTCCCACTTATCAGGGAGCTCTGCAGAGAGACCTGGTGCTTTCTTCATTTGAGGGGCTCCCCTTCCCTGTTTAGGAGTTCTGTGGGCTTGGGGGGACCCTGGAGCACAGACAGACTTGCTGCACCCTCTGTTCTGCCTGGCGGTAGAGGCTGAAAGGGAGTAGGAAGGCAAAGAAGAGCATTGCTCGTGTGTG